>NW_003315917.2:600000-779564 GCF_000001405.40 Homo sapiens | reverse complement strand
AAACGAAGGGGCAATTCAAAACATTCATCTCCACTTCTCAAAAGTAAGTCACCTTGATGACTGGGTAACAAAATCTTGCTAATCATTTGTGTTTTTTGTTTTGTTTTGTTTTGTTTTAGATTTTTAATTACTTTTAAAAATTTGAAGAAATACCTAGTTGAATTGTCAATGGACACCTGCAATTTTTGTTGTCATTCTTCAAAGGAGTTCAAAGAATCAAATGTCATTGTTATAACAAAGCCCTTCCAATCCTATCCACTTATTTCTGAGAACAAGATTTCTCAGTTCTTAGATCTTATAAAAATAATGATATAGGAATAAGAATGATGTGGAACCTGCCACCTTCTAGCAATAAAAAAGGTTCATTTATAAAAACATGAATTTATAGGCAAAACATTAGGAGGTAAATTTCAAAAAACGCTTTTGCAAATAATTAAATTTTAAAATCTGTCACATGTTTATGTTTTAATTCAACTTTTAATAAAATTTGAATGTATGGAGGCATTTTTTATTTTTTCCTCCTTATCACTCTGGGCCATAAAGCTCCACTTCTTTCAGAACATGTGCATGAGATATTTATACAGCTCTTCAGCTAAGGTTACTAATATGCAGCCCTGTGATGCCACCAGTTATAATTCTATTACTGCATTATTACTCTTTCAATTAAAAAGAAATAGTAGAAAAAACAAAGCAAACAAACAAACAAAAGGCAAAATAATTGCATTTCAGAGGATGTCTGTTCCCGTGTAAGGTGCGCCTGTCCTTGCTTCAAGGGGAGTGGGTTACTTTTTTTTAAGTTTTTATATTTTCAAGATTTGGGGTTTGATACAACCATTTTTTTTTTAACTTTAAATTCTGGGATACATGTGCTAAACGTGCAATTGTGTCACATAGGTATACATGTACCATGGTGGTTTGCTGTACCTATCAACCTGTCATCTAGGTTTTAAGCCCCACATGCATTAGGTATTTGTCCTAATGCTCTCCCTCCCCTTGCCCCCCAGCCCCCGACAGGCCTTGGTGTGTGATGTTCCCCTCCCTGTGTCCATTTGTTCTCATTGTTCAGCTCCCACTTATGAGTGAGAACATGTGCTGTTTGGTTTTCTGTTCCTGTGTTAGTTTGTTGAGAATGATGGTTTCCAGCTTCATTCATGTCCCTGCAAAAGACATGAATTCTTTCTTTTTTATGGCTGCATAGTATTCCATGGTATATATGTGTCACATTTTCTTTATCCAGTCTATCAATTGATGGGCATTTGGACAACCATATTTTTTGTTGAGTTTTGTTTCTTTAGTGGCTTAGCCATCTCTGCTGGTTTTAGTTAGTTCCAGCTGAGTCAATGGCTCATCTTAGACTGCATTTCTACCACCAACCTCTGCAAGGAAATACTCCACAGGACTTCTGGCCTAGACCTGAGGTTGCCATGGATTCATATTGAGCAAGTGAGTTCCATGTACACATCCCAGTCTTTCCTCAAGTAGCCTGCACGCCCTGTCTCCACCCTCAGTTTAAGAACACCAATGAGGTTTTTGAGATGTTCTTCTTACTCTCTGCCAAAGCAAGATATCTGATAGAAGGAGAAACCCTGTATTGACTCCCTGGCTTTTTGTTTATTCCAAAATTATGCTCTGTCTGGCTGACACATTGTGAAATTTAAGGGGAAAATTAGACCTTTTCCTCATTTCACTTTCATTGTTTCTTTTTTTAAAATCTATTGTGTATTTCATTCATTTTGGGGGGGGAACAAATTCTACAAACTGCTTTAATATTGTCCTTTTTTTCTAATATTCACATTAACTTTTTATGTAAAACATACCAATGCTTTTAATAAAGCTTACATAGGAATAAACTATTATAGACCTGCATAGATATAAGTACACATGTATTAATCTACATTAAAATAATGGATTTTATTCTGCGAAGACTCCAAGTTGCTCCTGGGTGCTAAGTGAAGCACTTAGGGAAATGTGTTCAGTCTTTGAGGTCATAGGAACATTAGATTATATCAAAGGAAACCTGGAGCCATCAGCTAAGTGGCCCTTCTGTCCTGTAGATACATAAAAACTAATGTGCTCCGCTATGCGGCTCACTTTCTGCTATTAGATACTATGAGGCACTAAGAAAAAACTACTGCCTGCATCATATCTTTCTTCGGTTTGAGATAAAGAGAATGGCCAGAACTGTATACAAGTCATGAAAGGCCCTGGTGTACATTTTTCAAAGTAGTGCAGATTGTGTTGAAATTATCAGTTTATCTTGCATATAAAAAAAACGTATATACACTTTGAGTAAAATATAAAAAGTGGTAAATATCACGAAAAGTTTGTTTTACTGTAACCATTTCTTGTTCTATTCTATTTGAGTATTTGCTCTATATATTTGATATACTTCCAGAATGCATCCTATTCACAAAGCAGGCAATTACTCTATCAGTGAATACAGTTGCAGAGTCTCTCCTCTATTCAGCTTCATTTGTACCTCCACTCCAGCCACTTGCAGAAATGGCGGATGCATCAAAAAGACTGGTTACAGGCCTTGCACCCTCCAAGCGGCTAATTACCAAGATGTTAAGTAAATGACCATTGCTCTTTATCATCCCCAATGGCATATAAAAAGGATGTTAAACAGGTTGTCTCATGTTCCCTATACATTTATTCATTCCCGTGTTAAAATACGTCTTATGGGAAAAACAAAATTCACCAAAGAATGAGGAAGCGAACATGTGTTAACAGAGGGACTTCTGGCTAATTTTACAAAGAAGGATAAAAATTCTCAAAATATGTGTGGGGTGGATTGCGGGGGTATTACATATTCATAGCATGCCGCAGAAATCATTTTAAGTCTATCAAAAACAACTATATTGTGCATTTTCAAATAAGCACATATAAAAGATGAGCTATAAGAAGAGAGAAGGATGCTAAAATAAATAAGTGAAAGAGAAAAATGGCTGGGCACGGTGGCTCAAGCCTGTAATCCCAGCACTTTTGGGGGCCGAGAGGTCAGGAGTTCAAGACCAGCCTGGCCAACATGGTGAAACCTGGTCTCTACAAAAATACAAAAATTAGCTGGGCATGTTGGCTCATGCCTGTAATCCCAGCTACTCGGGAGGCTGAGGCAGGAGAATCCCTTGAACCTGGGAGGCGGAGGTTGCAGTGTGCCAAGACCGCATCGTTGCACTCCAGCCTGGACAACAAGAGTGGAACTCCGTCTCGAAAAAAAAAAAAAAAGAGAAAAGTAGGTGAAAAGAAGTAATTAAATGGTAAGGAAAGAATAGGTCAGGACAGGAATCCAGGATGACTTTACTATATTTGAACCATAGAACATTAACCAAAATCTTATTTTTCTTCCCCTCAGTAGTTTGAAGTTGAGCAATATCTGTGTCTTTTGCATCACACTCTGAAATTGCAAATTATTTCTTGTCCTTTCAGATAAATGATTATGCAAAAGAAGCCCAGAACTGGCACAATTTAGAAGGTTTGAGGTTGCTCTCATGTGTTTGTAGGGTATGCTATCGTCATCCCATAGCCTAAGGCTGTAGTATTGGACTCTCTGGAAGCAGCTCTGAATGTGATAGGATGGAGATAATTGAAGATACAAGCAGCCATTATGTGTCTGAATATTGGTTTACTAGAAGAGCTAGATGTGTAGGAGCACATCCTTACTTGACAAATGTCTGACAGAATGACCTGGCACCATTACTGTTTTAAATGTGTAATATGCTATCTCAACTGGGACATTTTATGAAAGCTATAGGTTGTGACCTACTGTTCATTACACTTAGTTTCTGAGGTGCCAAAGACTGATGTGTGAGCCAAAGTTCATTATTGTTCTTCACTGGATCTTTGCATTTATTAGTCTGATGTTAATGGGATTCGCTCTTGAGTTGGATTGATGTTCAAGGTTAGAGCCACAGATGAGCTCCTGATCTTGACCAGAAATGATTTGCCCATTGCCAATTAGAAGAAGAAAAGGGCAAGGTGGAGGTTGAACTTGGAGTTAATAGGAATAATAGATGCTGAGGGTGCAAGATGAAACTCAGTAAGATAATACACTCTATTCTTAGACTGGCAAATTTACATAGTAAAGAGAACTTTTATCATTGTCATCCAAAGAAAATATAATCCTAAGAGAAAAAGTCCAGCTAGTTTTTTTTTTCTTTTTTGTTACCTGCTCATAGGATATAAACTTATTTCTATCACACACAGGTATCATTTTCTACACTTAAAACACTTCTTCTATTTCACACAAATGACAAAAAATGTCCTTCAATTATTTTGACACACGATCTCTCAAGATACATATCGTTTTATATCAACTATAAATACAAATTTAAAATTTTGATAAAAGAGAAATAACTGGAATAAAACAAAGCAGTATTTTTTAAAACTATAGCTTTTCCCCTAAGATATTCTCACACTAAAGAATTTTTCCCAATTCTTCTCCCCCACTGAGAAGTACAGTCTTCAAAAATTAGTCCAGGTATTAGTGTTTACCAAGGAGGAATATTTTGAACAAGAATAATCTGATGCTACTTTTCATTTGTCAAGTACATTTTCTAAATTATATTCTAATAAGAGAGAATATGCACATTTGCATGTCATGATTCTTATAAATATTTACTGAGTACTGTCTCTCTGTAAAGAACTACAGTGGGATGGATTTAAGATATATAATACATAATTTTTCATCTTCAAATTGTTCACGTTTTGTAGAGATAGTAACTTGTGCATAAATGACTAGAATGTTAAGTTGCTAAGTGACAAGTGACAAAAATGTTTAACCTGTAAAATCTTCCCCTTGGGAAATTGAGGAATAAAAACTTCCAACTAAAGGAACAAAGATTGTCATGAGCAAAGTTGTATAAAAAATAAATTAAATGTAGGATAATAAAGGTAGTGTATTAAAGTGAGAAGGGTTAGGGTTTCTTAGGTGACAGACTGGCTTGATTTTGTGACTTGTGTGATGGTAGCAAGTTATGTAACACCTCTGAGTTTCCATATCTTCATCTGTGAAGTAGACATAGCTGAACCAACCACATGGAATTGTTGCGAGGGTGAAATGCAATGGTGTGTGCAAGTTTCTAGGCACTGTTGGACTGGATCTACTATTACGCTATACAAATGATACTTAGAATTTTTACAGTTATGCTTAATATTGTCATAATTCCAGGAAATGAGAAAAATCTCAGCAGAGGTACAAAACGGGCAAGCTCTGGGAAAAATGATCTTAGTGGGTTTATTTCAAAGGATGCTTGAAAGTGATCTGTGGAAAACAAAATTGACAAAAAGTGCATGTTGAAATGGAAATTAACGGGTCTTTGAATGTTAAGAGAAAGATAGCGGGCATGCTCTTTCATCTGTCTATCCCTGGCCCTTAGCATGCCTGGTGCTTTTCAGTGCTCCAGCTTTACGTGTTTAATCGTTTTTGTTTCATTCGAAATAAATGTTCTCATAGATATAGAAAACCAGCAGGCAATAAAATATATATTCTGAGCTGTGATTTAGTGGTATTATTACTTAGCAACAGTGTGTAGGATGAATTACAGAAAGCAAAAGTAGGGCATAATTATAATCACTAAGACTAATTATCAATATAAACTTTTGCCAGAACAATTGTAAATATATGGAGAGGTGATGCACATGAAAAACACATTAAAATACCCTAGGATTTTGCCAAAATAAGCTGTGTAATAAAACAAAGGGAGAAGAAATTGAAGAATATGATGAAGTTTAAATTGAGGTTCAAGGTGTTTTGCATGAAGAAAGATGAGAAATTTAAATTTGAGATATGATGAGTTTATGGTAGGAAATTGAGATACCATATTTTGCCAGTTGGACTAGACCTCACAAAAAGACTCAAAATAAGTATGCAGAACGCATTAGTTTAGATATATTTGAAGAGACCATGGGAAAAAAAGGAAAAAGGGAGGAGTTTAAAGAGTCAAACAAAAAGATGATGGAAAGGCAGTGGGAGACATAAAAGGGAACCAGAAATCTTAAGAGGAGAAAGTGTTCTGAAGAAACACACAAAGTCAATTACTTAAAAAGTTGAGAATCACTGGCAGTGCTGGATGATCGTGACTTTTTTCTCTATTTCAGTAAGCGGGCGATGGACATTAGAATGCAAGAGATGGATGAGGTATGGAAGTAGAAGGAATAAATGTCAACTATTATTTTAAAACATTTGCACAGAAAGCAAAGTAGGATAAGAGCTTAAAAATAAAGGTTCTGTTTATTTTCATTTTGTAGTCGTAGGGAAAATGTGGGCATGTTAAAAGAAAAGCTGAGTGTAAAAAGGGAATGAGAGGACAAATTGAAATAGACATGGGTTCAAATCCCAGATCCCACTGGACATCTCTGAGGCTTACTAGACATCATCTGTAAATATAAGATAAACACCTAATATAAAATGTGTTCAGCTATAAGAAGTTTGAGTTAGTGTATATGATTTTTAGAAAATCAATTTATCATATACAATAAAACATATATTAAATTAGACAGTTTGATGCATATTGACAATTGTATATCCCCTGCACATTTCCATCATATATGAAAACTTCTCACATGCCCTCACCATCTCAATCCCTGATCACAGGCAACCACTGATGGAGGTTCTGTCATTATGTACAGGATATATCTTTTCTAAATTTTGTATAAGTGACATCATACATGTGCATTATTTTGTTTCTGTCTTCTTTATCTCAGCATCTTGTTTTTTGAAATTTGTTCTTATTGAGTACATCAGTGGTCAGCTCCTTATTATTGCTTAGTGTATTTCATTTTAAAAGTATAATTATTACATATTGTGTGGAAAGATTTAAACATTCAGAAAATATAAAACTCAGTGCAACTATTTTTTCCTACTCTTCATGTATTATAATTCAGTCTTTTTGATAATTTTATATATATAGAAGGTATGATATTTATATTACATTTAAAATTTAGTACAACTTTTATTAAAGTGTACATATTATTTATACAATGCTTTTTTCTTTTCTATATCTATACAGCTTACCCATTTTTGAGAAGGCTGCATTTTTTTCTATAACATGTATATGTTGTACTTTACTTGTCTATATCCCCATTAAGAGATATGTTGCTTCCAGGTTTCATTATTATAAATACTGTTTCAGTGAACAGCTTTCAATATACATCTTTGTGCCCATGTGACAATAAAAGTATTTTTGTATGCATCTGCAAGTATAATAGTTATAGTGTCCATGCATTTTCAATTGGGTAGTTGTTTCAAAATAGCCCTACATTTTTCAAATAATTCTAATTCAAAGGACTGCTCCCCTTTCAAACCTGGTAAATATTGAAGTCCTTAATGCTTTTGCCAGAATTAGGCTGAATTGACAGAGCACTGATATGTAGAAGATATATATATATATACATGTATATTATATATATATTATAAATATAATGTATATATATAAAATTCTTAAAATTTAGCAAGTAACTGAACAACAAAAATGACAGATAAAAGAAGCAGGTCATGCATAGCCTATCTGCCTGAGATTTATTTAACCCTTCTTCAGAAGAGGCTTTGATTCTTGTCTCTCTGTGTCTACCTATAGACAGCATTTCTCCCAGGAAGCTTGCCCTGACCTCCTAGAATTGGTTATGTACCATTTATATATTTTTCATATTCCAATGTACATAACTCATAACAGAAATTATCACAAGGGAACAGCTGTGGTTTTATTGTTATGTCTAGCTATCCAGCTATCATCTTCACCAGACTGTAAGCTCCTTGAAGGCAGAAGCCAGATTTATCTTCATGACCTCTGTGTTTTAGATGAGGTCTCAGAGATAGAGGTCAGAATTTTCCCTCTAGGTAAATTAATTAGATTAACCTCAACTTATACAAAACAGTAGTCATTAAATTTATCCCCAGCCATCAGGAGCTTAACTACTCTGGAGAGAGAGCCAGGTGTTGGAGTAGGCAATTAAGACATCAAGACAAAAGGACATTAACAAACCTTTGAGGTTAAACTGGAAAAAGCCCTGACGGTCCAGTCCCCATCCTTTTTTTCCTTCATGAAACAGCTCTATCAAGGATCACATGGGTCAGCACAGATGTGGAGTTGTCTCACTATCAAAGGAACCCTGAACAACAGGCTCCTGCAGTTTTATGGAAGGTCAGGAAAAGGCTGGGAGCGGAAAAGCACTGAGTATTGAATCAGAAGGAAGACAATTGTCTTCAAGACTCCTCCTCCTCTCCCCATGAAAAGGAGGTCTTGGGCAAACATGCCTGGGGAAGGTCTGCCAAGGTCCCACAGTGGAGAGGCCTCCAGGGGAGGCACCAGTCAAGTGATGCTGATCTGTGTGTGAGCATGGCCCTGCAGCCCTTACTGAAACTGCCATTAGAGGACTATGCACTAGTGTGGGGAGGGCAGCTCTCCCTGTGGGACCCACTTGGTCAAGTCTTTGTCATTGTTTATGGATGGGCCCAAAAATCACATATAGGATTGAGTCTGGGGCTGAACTCTTTACTGCTCTGTCTGTATTCCCTGTCTTGGTTGACACCTAATACATGACTAAGAAACTAAGAAATCATTTTAGACGTCGTTTTTGTGTCTGTGTTTTATGCTTTGTTGGCTTGAAAACTTCATCCAATAAAACTTTAGTTATTTTTATTACCATTTCTTCCTTTATGACCCCACAGCATCCTCCATGTGCCAGGGTCCAAATCATCTTTAACCCGGACTATTGTATCAGTACCCAAATATATTCTTTCATCAAAATATATTCTTTCTCTTCTCTGGCTGTAATCTCATTCATTTCCAGGCTACTTCTTTTCAAACTAAAAAGCAAATATAATCACACTATTCTCTTTCTTCAAACACTTTCCCAATTCCTAGAGTAAAATCCCCCTTTTATAACATATAAGGCCTCAGTGACCTACCCTCAGGACTTCTTTAATTATTCTCCCATATTGTCCTATTATGTACCTGTTCCATCATCCTTACAACCCTCAGAACTCCCTAATCTGTTTTAATGCCACATTGTTATGCTCTTAATTTCCTTTGATAAAATGATTCTTTCCATTCATAAACTAGTTGATTACCACAACTTCTTAAGTATTCTATTGAAGTTTATCTTATTAGTCCATTTCACACTGCTATAAAGATACTACCTGAGAATGGATAATTTATAAACAAAAGAGGCTTACTTGACTCACAATTCCACATGGCTGAACTTATAAGTGAACTTATAATTAAACTTATAATCATGGTGGAAGGTGAAGGGAAAGCAAGGCAAGTCTTACACTGTGGCAGGTAAGAGAGAGAGCATGCAGGGGAAACTGCCACTTATAAAACCATCAGATCTCCTGAGAACCCCCTCACTATCACAAGAACAGCATAGAAAACCACCCTTTTGAGCTAATCACCTCCCACCAGGTCCCTCCCCATGACACATGGGGATTACAATTCGAGTTGAGATTTGGGTGGGGACACAGAGCCAAATCATAACATGTATCTTCTTTGCCAAGATTTTCCTTACAACGCAAAGTAGATTGACATATTTTAATTTCTTCCATCCCACCCCACCATAATATTCTTACCTCTATGACAGTGCTCATCAAAATTTGTAGCTATTATTTGTTTAAATGACTTCATTATGCTTCTTAAGAGGCATAAACTTTCTGCTATATTCATCTTTGTATGCCTGTCACACATTACATTGGCTGAGACAAGGTAAATATTTAATACATATCTATTAAATAAGAAACTTAAAAAAATAAAAGAGTGAATGAATAACTGTATCTAGGAAGTATGAAAGTGACTTATCTTTTAGCATTTTTCATCAAGGAATTAAGAAATGTGTGGGGAAAAAGTTAAGAGGCCCCAGTTAAAATGGCTTTTATCCCAAATTCAGGCAATAACAAAAGTTGGCGAGGATATACAGAAAAAGGAACCCTTGCACACTGTCAGTGGGAATGTACATTAGTATGACCCTTAAGGAGAACAGTCTGGAGGTTTCTCAAAAAGCAAAAATTGAGCTATCATATGATCCAGCAATCCCACTCCTGGGTGTATAACCAAAAGAAAGGACATAGTATATCAGAGAGATATCTGCACTCCATGTTTATTTCAGCACTACTCACAATAGCCAAAATTTGGAATCAACCTAAGTATCCATCAAGAGATGAATGAATGAAGAAAATATAGTACATATACAAAATGGAATACCATTCAGCCATAAAAAACAATGAGTTCCTGTCATCTGCTACAATGTGGATAGAACTGGAGGTCATTATGTTAAGTGAAACAAGCCAGGCGCAGAAAGACAAACTTCGGATGCTCTCACTTATTTGTGGGAGCTAAGGCTTAAAACAATTGAACTCATGGAGATAAACAGTATAAAGGTTAACAGGCTGAGAAGGGTAGTGAGGGTTTGGGAGGAAAGCGGGGCACACTAATAGGTACAAAAACATAGTTAGAAAGAATGAATAAGACCTAGCATTTGCTAGCACAACAGGGTGACTATAGTCAAAAATAATTTAATCGTACATTTAAAAATAACTAGAAGAGTATAATCAGATTGTTTGTAACACAAAGGATAACTGTGTGAAGTGATGCATATTCAATTTACCCTGATGTGATTATTATGCATGTATCAAAACATCTCATGTACTCCATAAATTTTCAAAAGAAGTATGTATAGCATAATGCTTAAAATAATATACTGTAATAGTCTACAACTTGGCAAGAAATTAAGCTTTCGTTTATTTTTGTCACAACAGGTATACTACATGCAGATTAAAATATATATTTTATATATATATATATATATATATATATATATATATATATACCATTTATCTTTTAAGGGCATTTTTCATAACCTTGAAATATAAACAATAAAAATTATGAAGCAATAATTTATTTTTTTAAAAAAATCCACTTGCCAAACAAACAAGATACTCCTTCCAGGATGTCAGTAATATCAAGATAAAATGCCAGAGAATTTTAGCTGAGTATAGTAAATCAAACAGCTAATTTTTAACTTTGATGGAGGAGAAAATTAGATAAATTCTGAAAATTCATCCATCATTTTTAGAGCACTAACCTTATGTCGCTGCCAACAGAGTTGTAATGGGCTTTCTCGTTCATCTAGTTGGTTTTAGTTTTTTTCTGTTCCAGCAGACCTTCCTCGCTCTAGTCCTATAGGACCCTATCTGTCCCTATCTGTCCCTGTCTGTTCCTCCAAATCTCTCCTAGTCTTTGCTAGTCTCTACTTTTGTACCTCTTTAGGACACAGACCAGTACCTCTTCAGGGCACTGACCTTATATTGCTAGTCTTTATCTATTCCTATCTGTCTCTGTCTGTCCCTATGGTACCTGTTAGTTCCTGCAAGTCCCCGTCTTTCCCTACCTATCTCTACTTTTCTCTACTTACTTATCTCTACTTACTTTTCTGTACTTACCTCCACTTATCTCTGTTTATCCCTGCAGGCCTCTTCAGGTCCCTCCAGGTCCTTTCAGGTCTCTGTATGTCCCTGATAGTCTCTGAAATGTCCCTGTTCAGGCACCATTTGTAGTTGACTGTCACTGCTACTACATGAGACCATCACAAGTATGTTGAATTGAGCCTGGAACTCCTAGATGATAAACATTTTTTTATACCAACCTTCAACTTTTTCATTAAAATTAGATTGGGTAGATACTATAAATAGTGTCCCAAGCACTAGTGGAAAGATTCTACCATGTCTTACACTGGTTACTATGAGTTTGGAGTCAGAGGTATAAGGCTTGAAGAAAAAAGCACAATGAAATACAATTTTATCCACCAATCTGACATTTTTAAGTTTTAGGAAAATTGTGTCTTAATTCAAGCTGCTATAACAACAACAAAAACAACATACACTGACTGGTTTAAACAATAGAAATTTACTTCTCGGAGTTCTGGAGGCTGAGAGTCCAAGATAAAGGTGCCAGTCAATGGTTACAGGTAAAACCTCCATTCCTTGTCATGTCCTCATAAAGAGACAGAGAGAGAGACCAGACAGAGAGAGAGAGAGAGAGAGAGAGAAAGAGAGAGAGAGACTCATGACCTAATTATTTCCCAAAGGCCCTGTTTCCAAATATCATCTCAGTGGAATTAGGGTTTTAACATACAAATTTTGGGGGCGACGCAAGTATTTTTAGTCCATACCAAGTT
This sequence comes from Homo sapiens, assembly GCF_000001405.40. Lineage (NCBI taxonomy): Eukaryota > Metazoa > Chordata > Mammalia > Primates > Hominidae > Homo > Homo sapiens. The sequence continues at coordinate 767,396 of NW_003315917.2, read as the reverse complement.
AGATGCAACTTTACCAAAATTATTGTGGGTAATTTGACAAGGTAAGAGAGGTCAGTGAAACGCAAATTATATGATAACTTCTTGGTGCTCAGGCAGTATACCTGCCAGGTTGTCTCCTGGCTAGAGGAATGAAACAAGTAGTATTCAACAAGACTTTGGTAGTGAGTAAAACATGGCATATAAGTTGTTTTTTGTGGGAATGACATAGTCTAAATATTATTTTGATGACATACCTGTGTATTGACCTCTCTTGCATCAAAATGACATAAACATGGAGAAATAATTCTGAAAGTCAGCAGGAACTTGCAACTCACTTCTGGGAGGGGACCACTTAGGGGAACTATGATATTAGACTGTGGCAATGTCGACCTCCACACAGGAGGAAAGAGTAGTCACATACCCTAAATCTTGCGTAACGTGGTGTCTTAAAATTTCAATAAATCTACTGAGTTAAATTAACAGCAAAGCAGAAAAATTTGCCAAAGCTATTTATAGCTCCATTAAAATGGAAGACAAGTTAAGAAAATGTGTGTTCTAAATAATCATGTCAGAAGTTAGTGTTTCCTTCAAATATAATCATAGGCCTAAGAATTTTTATCCAAGATTGATGAAATTTTATTTTACGCAACAATAAATGGAACACAAAGGCTGCACATCATTTTTTTGTCTTCTGTACATATCACTAAAAAAAAAAAAGCATCAAACTAAAACAATGAATATAATATTAAATAGGGATTTGTTAATTGCTAATATTTTTAATATAGAGAAAGAATAATGTTTAATGATTAATTACAAAATTGATGAACTAGAATAGTGAGAAATCAAGGAGAGCTGAAATTTATGGAACTTTATGATAAACTAATAAAGGACAATTTTATTCCTAGCATTTTAATTATTTGCTTTATCATTGCATTTTAAATGCAATTATCAAAAATAAAGGTTATAACTAAGAATTTCAAAAATTCTAATTATAGCAGAATTGGTAACAAAGAATTGAATACAGAGGGTGAATCTTATATTGCTTTATTATTATTAAAACTAAGGAAATATTTAGAATTTTGTGTACTAATTTAGCTACGAAGGAAAAGGAGGGCGTCATCATTTTAAAAATGTTTCCACATTGTCTACAGAAGCCTAGATTATTAAAAAAAAGAGTGGCCTCAGATAGATATCTGATTGGAATACACTACAAAATCTAGTAGTCAACTTGTTAAGATATCTGAAGATTCCATTTAAGACAGATTGTGAAAAAATATACTGGAAGAAATAGATTTTATTTAATATCCTTAAACATAAAACTTTGTTACCTTCTAAAACACTATATTTAGTTTTATTTCTATTTTATAATATTGTATATGATGTGCTTTCTTTTCCAGGTAAAACTAACAAAAGACAATAAAATGTTATTAACTTGAGTTATGGTTAAAGTAGAAGAGCTGTGGATATTACACTACATGAAAAAAAATTCTTCCACAGATATTATTTGTGTATGCATACATCGATAGAGATACACATAGATAGATACAGATACAGATAGATATCGATATAGATATAGACTTGGCTATAGAGACTGTGGGTTTTTTAATACAGCAAGAAAAGAGAAATATTTATTTACACTGGATCAACAAAGGAACTAGGCTATTAACTCAGATTGTAATAGTCTAAAATTTTTCCAAAAATTAGGAAAAATAAAATATTTATATGAATTTTACCTGGAAGTGTTTCAAAATAGTTTGCAAAGAGTGAGAATGAATTTCAACTTGTGAGTAAAGGGTAAAACTGAAATGAAAGTTAAAACAAATAGTTTCCCCCTTTCATTATTAGATCATGATTTATTGAAAACAATCTTGATTGTTAAATATTGATTAAAATTAATGAAGGTGCAGAGTTCCTAAGACCTTGTCATTTGAACGTTATGAATATCTTCACAATGAAAACATTATTCGTGTTATTTATGTGAGCTTATATGTACTTTTCCGCATAAATAATTTGTACTCTTAGTTAGAAACAAATGAACTATGGCTTTTGGTGTGGTTTTGTTTATTTATGAATAAACATTAAGAACTGTGCTTATGAAATTTTCAGGAAATATACTGAATGCTTTAATGTACTCTGTAACATTGCAACATATAATTTCCCCTCTTCCCTCACTTTTTGATGTAGCTATCATTGCTTTGAGTTTTTATTTACTGGTTATTTTAAAGAGCTTAATGGTCTCATTTACTTAAAAGTGGAATAATATTGGACTACTATTTTCTTTTTTTAACCTCTCTAGGTCATTCTACAGTCATTACCTTCCAGCCTATTTGTTTCTGCAGAATCTACATATGTAATACCTATAAATTTTCTTTTCATATTTGTTCACTCATCCACATCATTAATAAAGTTATTAAGTGAAGACGAACCCAGCAGTAGCACTCCCTTACCACCTTGAAATATTGTGCTGATGTAGAGGTTGTATCTGATTTAATTCTTCAAGGATTATTAATGTATGTGGAACTAGCTTTTCAGCCATGGAAATCTTTAGTACGTATTTAAGAAAAAGTGATTTAATGCTCAGTAGGGAAATGTTGTCCAAAACAGTGCCTGAAAAAAGCAGGTATGTGTCCACATTGGGCACACTGCAGGTGGGGTATATTGTTGAGATAGGAAGGAAAAATAAAATGTGAGAAAAGGCAAGAGACAGAAAACAAAGTGCAGGTCGGGAAGAGACAACTTTAACTTCCACCATTTGTTAATCAATTCTGAAATATTTTCATTTTTACAGCCTAAAATTATGCATGTGTTGGCATTTTTTTAAATGGATGATATTACAGTTTTCATTCAAGCATTGGTATAGAGCCTAACCTTTTGTTATGGATGAGATGTTTAGATTGTTAATCTGGAAAATCTATTTTCCTGTTATTGAAGTCACATATATACATATATGTATATATACTTTTATATATGTGTCTATATATAGTAAAAATGTGTATATTTATTTTAAAAAGTATTTTGGTTCATGTTTTTGTTCTTAATGTTGTCCTACTAAAATTACTTAATCATAAATCTTTCTACTAACAGTAAGGCAGAAACAGAGTAACAAGGGATTTTTTTTTTCTATTAAACTGAAGACAGAGAAGTTTGGTATTTATTTTTACCTAATATAGCAAACTTCAAAAAACAATCTATTTCAATAAAAATATTTTCCCCAGCTACAGAAATAAACAAGGGATAATATATAATCTAAAAATGTAATGGAAGAAAAGGCACAGCATTAAGAGATTGCCTTATTTTCCTTTCTAGCACATCTTGCTCTTAAAATATCCATGAGTCTATAAAGGGTGCTATTTACAAGGATCAGTTTCCCTGTATTTCTGGGTTGAATGATCCTCTACTTTTACTATCCTTTGCTAAACATGACAAAATAAGAAAATAAAAGATAAATATGAGATGAAGACCTCAAATGACATCAATTTCATTGCCTCTAAAAAGTTGTGATGATGAATGTTACCACTACTCAACTGAGTTTATGAAAAGGCAAATATACTTTTAAAAATGTAGGGGTGCTTATACAAAGACTTATGTGTTTACGTTTACTTTTTTTATAAAGCTGATTTAATCAAAAGATTTAGTTAAGGCCGGGCGCGGTGGCTCACGCCTGTAATCCCAGCACTTTGGGAGGCCGAGGCGGGCGGATCACGAGGTCAGGAGATCGAGACCATCCCGGCTAAAACAGTGAAACCCCGTCTCTACTAAAAATACAAAAAATTAGCCGGGCGTAGTGGCGGGCGCCTGTAGTCCCAGCTACTTGGGAGGCTGAGGCAGGAGAACGGCGTGAACCCGGGAGGCGGAGCTTGCAGTGAGCCGAGATCCCGCCACTGCAGTCCAGCCTGGGCGACAGAGCGAGACTCCGTCCCAAAAAAAAAAAAAAAAAAAAAAAAGATTTAGTTAGTAATTTATTGACTCAAATACTTTATGCCTTCTATTTCACATTTTTTACAGGTTTATAAGTCTAGATACCTATGTCAATTAGTGAATTTTCTACCAAGAGTTCATGTTTTGTTGCTTAAAGGCAGATAATTTTTTTATTTAAATAATATTAAAAAGAGGAAAATATTTCAAAATACCAAGATTGGGAGGTGTCTGGGAGATTTATATGTATTGCTTTTATTAACTGTCTAGCACTGGATTTATAAACCAGCTTATTTTTTTAATTTAAAAGCTCTCTGCCTTGCAATTTAATTCACATGATCTGCATTAACCATGCCATATTCAAAATTTCATTGATAAATTCTATCCAGTAGTCAATATCGAATTGTAAACTGATGTAATGTGCTTTAAAATATGAAGATTTAATCTTTAAAATATGAATATTTGATTGAATAATTACTACCACTAAAATCATGTTTACTTATTAGAATTATCATATAGGAATTGTTTTATAATGTATATGTTAATTGAATGTGATTTCTTGATACTTAGGATATACGTTAAGTATACATAAACAAATTGGAAATAAAGTTCTGATATACTGTTCCATGAAAGTTTCAAATCTTTATATTAAAGATTACCATTTGAGTCAGAGGCAATGATAGGATTTTCTGTACTTTATCCACATGTTTATATATATACATATATATATGTTTTCATATAACCTTTCATGAGGATAGAAAAGAACTATGAATGTTTCTCCATCAGGCATCTTTCAAATACAACATAACAATAACTTCCTTAAGTATTTTATTTAGGCAAAAACTATAAAATGATGGAATGGAAAAAGAATTCTCAATGATCAAACCAAAGCAATTATATTTGATTCTGAATTTTAAAAGATTAGTCCATCAATTTATATTTAGAGGTTAGAAAACACATTCTGAGAGACAGAAAATTATATTACTTTTCTAACTTCCTGGAGAATATTGTGCTTTGTCAAATTTTACATTTATGAGAAGTTTTATATTAAAGCTATAAAATCTATCAGGGTAAGTTAATATGAGTATTTGAAAGTTTCACTGTTAAATTTATATTATCACATATTAAATGAAAGAACTGTTAACTGTGTACTGAATTCAAAAGTTAATATAGCTTCTCTCTTTTTTAAGAAATGGGACACAATATTAAAAAATTAAAGAGTTTTCAAATATTTATACTTAAATTTATATCTAAGGAATTATATATAGAATGCATACCTTTCAAGTAGATACTATTGTTGCTGTTAAGATTATTGTCAACAAAATTTAAACACACAGACTATTAAATAAAGAAATTAAAACAACAAAAAATAACCTCTAGGCCAGGTGTCCTGGTTAACCTGTAATCCCAGCACTTTAGAAGCTTGAGGCAAGAGGATTGCTGGAGACCAATAGTTTGAGACCAGCCTGAGCAGCAAACTGAGACTCTATGTGTATCAAAAAATGTTTTAAAAGTAGCCGGGTACTGAGGCAGGCACTTGTAATCCCAGCTACTTGGGAGGCTGAGGTGGGAGGTATGCTTGGGCCCAGGATTTTGAGGCTGCAGTGAGCTGTGATTGCACCACAGCCCTCCAGCCTGAGAGAGAGAGGAGACCTTGTTTCTAAAAACTAACTAAATAAACAATAATGTAAAAAATCTCTCTTTAGGTGTATGCTTCTCTTTGCCAGTGTTTAAGGGTTAAAAAAATCAATATGAGAGATTAACTAAAGTACCAATTTAGAGTTAAATGAGTGCATTTGCCACTTGAGTGCCGATTGCCTCGCATGACAGACAATATTAAGTGCTGATGACTTTAACTTTCACAAGTTTTACGCGATAGTGGGATAAATTTTTACTTAAAATGTGTTAAACTTCGGTTTAATTGCACTAATTAATGTCTCAATAGATATACTGTTGTATCTACCTCAAAATGCAAACACCAATGAAGTAATTCATCAGAAGACTTGATATGAATAAAGAATGGAACAGTAAAGTTGAAGATAAAAAACATAGAAATTGAATAACAAATACAAGTAAGAAACAAGAAGAGTGATAAATAGCAGAACATGGCATCCAAGAGCTGAAGGACAGCTCTGGATGCCTAACTTGAACGGATTCATGAAAGAGAACAAGGATGATAAATACTTAAAAACAAAATGAATGAGAATTTTCCAAAAGAAGTGAAGGCAATCAAATCGTAAATCCAAGAAACATTTCTAGAGATATAGGGGCTACGTAAACAAACTAAAAAAAAGGTAAAAAATTATATGAAGACAAACATAGTTGTGTTGTATGTATTATATAGTTAAATATACGTTATACACAGGCACGAAGAAAAGAAGTACAGGAAACCTGTCCTCAAGAACTATTTAACTGTATACTGGAAATTTTAACCAGTGTACTAAAGTAAGAAAAATAAACAAAAGGCATACAAATTGGATACGAAGAAATAAAACTCTATTTGTTTCGTGGATGGTCTATGCACAGTATTCCATTATGTACAAAATAATTAAAATTATTAGCAGTGAAGCTGCTAGAAATAAATTGTGAGTACAAAATAATTAAAATTATTAAAAGTGAAGCTACTAGAAATAAATTGTGAGTTTTGTAATTTCACACTATGCACTATAACACTATAATGCTAATATACAGAATTATTTTTTATATATAATTGTTGCAGGAAAAACCCAGACCTGTGTAGAAGAACATCCCTCTGCCAAAGAGATAGTGCTGAAATAACAAAGAAGGACTCAGACAAGTCCAGCTTCATGAGAAGACGAGTTTATTAGGACTTACGTAAAGGGCAGCGGGATAAAACTCCAGAGATCCGCCTGCTGCCCACCATCTTCCTCTAAGCTGCTTTTAAGCTACTTTTCTTTTCTTTTCTTTTCTTTTCTTTTCTTTTCTTTTCTTTTCTTTTCTTTACTTTTCTTTTCTTTTCTTTTTTTTCTTTTCTTCTTTTCTTTTCTTTTCTTTGACGGAGTCTCGCTCTGTCGCCCAGGCTGCAGTGCAGTGGCGGGATCTCGGCTCACTGCAAGCTCCGCCTCCCAGGTTCACGCCATTCTCCTGCCTCAGCCTCCCGAGTAGCTGGGACTATAGGCGCCTTCCACCACGCCCGGCTAATCTTTTGTATTTTTAGTAGAGACGGGGTTTCACCACGTTAGCCAGGATGGTCTTGATTTCCTGACCTCGTGATCCGCCCGCCTTGGCCTCTCAAAGTGCTGGGATTACAGGCATGAGCCACCGCGCCCGGCCAAAGCTACTTTTCTGGCTCTTTGCTTACTACATGTGATGAAACTGTTCTTCTTGGTATGTACCTAGATATGCTCCCGGATGTTTTGGTTTTCAGGGACATCTGCTCCTCGGCTGAGCACCATGAACTTTGCTCACCATCTAGCCTTCAGGACTCAAGCAGTCAACATATGCCCTTAAATTCCCTGGTGGGGGACCCGCTACTTTACAACACTATTAATGAACAATTGGAAATTAGAATTTTTTAAAGTTACATTTAAAGTAGCACAAGAAACATTAAATTCTTAATCTAAAAAAACATGGAGAAAGGGTAACAAAAACTAAAAAAACACTGGTAAAAGAAATCAAAGAAGAAGTAAATAAGTAAAGAGCTTGGTAGCCAATATTGACAATAAATTAATTCTGTTCAAACCAATCAAAAAATTCAATACAAAAATTCAATCCAGTTAAAATTCCTAACAGGATATTTGCAACTAACAAACAAGCTCATTCTAAAACTTTCAACAGAGAAGCAAAGGAATTATAATGGAAAAATCATTTTGACAATAAAAAAATTGAAGAATCCACTGATTTATATGTATACTATATACATATATGTAATATACATATGTATATCTGTTGGTGACTTTAACCATATGATTCATAATTTCAAAAACTGGTGAATAGTCAAAAAGTTATATACTGTATCTATTTAATATCACGTTAGGAAGAAAAAGAAACAAATCTGATAACATAACAACATGAATGTGTCTCAGATTTATTATGCTATTTAAAAAGCCAGATTTAAAGGCCTATTCAGGATGCTGTTTGCTCCCTTGTGTATGACATTCTAGAAAATATAAAACCATAGGGACAAAGAACAGCGATTTCCAAAGACTGAGGGCAGCAGAAATACTGATTCAAAAGGCACAAAAGGGAATTTTTCTAGGTGATGGTACTGTTCTATATCTTGAGGATGGTATTTGTTATATAACCATCTATGTTTTCAACACACTGCATACTTAAAAAGATGACTTTTGGCATATATAAATTTTAATTCGATAAACCTGAGTTTTTAAAACAAAGATTTTCTGTAACCAGTAGACTCATAACACTGTCTTCCTGTCATTGACTAAGATGGTTTCGATAGTGCATTCCTCTTGTTCATGCCAGCCAATGTGTCTTTTGTTTAACCAAAACCCTTGAAATATCTTTGCCTCAGGCTTTTATTGAAATTTCCTGTAATTTAAAGACTTCACCCTCCTATTCACAGGAGTTAGTATCTTGAAATGGTAATAACTTGAAAACAGCTATGGTGGGAGGACTTACTCTTTGAAGTGTAACTTACATACATGCAGCATACACCATGTATCAAGACTTTCTTTTTTTCTGGTTTTTTTTTTTTTTTTTTTTTTTGAGATGGCGTCTCACTCTGTTGCCCAGTCTGGAGTGCAGTGGTGTGGTCTCAGCTCGCTGCAACCTCCACCTCCCTGGTTCAAGCGATTCTCCTGCCTCAGCCTCCTGAGTAGCTGTGACTACAGGCACCATGCCACCACGCTGGGCTAATTTGTGTATTTTTTATTAGAGACGGGGTTTCACAATATTGGCCGGGCTGGTCTCGAACTCCTGACCTTGTGATCCACCCGCCTTGGCCTCCCAAAGTGCTGGGATTACAGGCGTGAGCCACCGTGCCCAGCCGACTTTCTTTTCATTTGGATCACTAGTTTACCAACATCACTGCCTTTACTCAACTCTATTAACAATTATTTAACCTAGTTTATCAAGTCACTTGTCAAAATAGAGATTTATATTGTTTATATATGTAATATTTTACAAATCTGTATTTTTGTACTTCACTATCTAATTAAACCTTTGGGGTAACTTTTATGTGTATCCCAAATAGGACAGGACAGTCATTCATTTCTTATAATGTATCAGCTAATTTCAAGGAGACATCGGAATTTTTGTGGAGACATCGGAATCTGAAGAGCAAAGTGATTCAAATTGGGTCACAGATTAAATAATTTTTAAAATGTTTACTTTAAATATCTTAAAAAACTTTAAGGAGAAAATTAATTTTTCTATATTGTTCTTGGCCTTAAAATATACATTAAGCATTAGTTTTCTGGCTTTTGATGTTTTTCATAAAATTAGCTCAAAAAATGCAAAAAGCTTGTATGAATATATAAGGGCCTTTGTAATCATATTGTAATTGCTTGACATAGTTAATTTCTTGATTTCTGACTCTGGCATCTGAGTTTCATAATTGTTATGTAATTACTCTATTTTTTTAAATCATGTTTTTAAATGGAAGTTTCAGTCTCAGATCTTTTCTATTTCATGCAATAAATAATTTTTAGCAGTAAAGAATTATTTGGCAATAAATATTTTTTGAGACGTCATGCTCCAATGATATAATTTAGTCCACTTTCTGCTTGAAAATATGCAAAGAAGAAATCTCTTGTTGGTATTAATTTCAGAAGTCGTCTTTGCACACACAATGATGATCATTCTGTTTTCCTTAGATAATTCATGGTAGTGTAACCCAATAATATAATCTTAGATGTGTAACTTACATACATGCACGTGGCACATGAAGCATGTGGTGTACTGAGATGAAAATAAGCTTGTAAAAGTCATTGGTTACCTAACTGCGGCTTGGTACCTAGCACACCCTACCTGCAACGGTCCCAACAGTTACACTGGCTCTATTTGACTTAGATGATGCAGGGGTGGGTTCAAAATCCCTCTCTTTTTCCTAATTACATACGACTGAGCATCCCTTCCCTTGTCTCAATCTGGGATTTTGAGAGTTTATTATAAGATCCCCAGTGAAAATCCACCCAGGTGGTTCTTCCCTACCCTCTTTAAATGTTCACACCCTAGTGTGAACAAGCTAGAAGTGGATTCTTTGAGGCAGTGACAACAGACCATGTTCAACTTCTACACTCCTTGATGTTTGTGTATTGGAAGAAGGTGTGACAAGATGCCAGGCACCAGAATTTCAGGTTGGTCTTTATGGAATTCTTGAACTCTAGGGCTGCATCCCTCCCTATAATGAGGCAAAGTTGGGGAAGTAGAAAGTTCAATGCAGCCTATGATTTTTACCTCATGGTTTTCTATAACCTAATACATATCACATTGAATTATGTGTTAACTCGTGAGCATTCAAATTAATAGAGCATGCTGTACCAAAATATTGTCATTATTTTGGTTATTATAAATTATATATGGCCATGATCAGTGCTATAGGGCAAGACTATATCATTTTTTACTTCTAGGCTAAAAGGATTATGTTCCTACACATGAATTATGTAACTTTTTAAAAAAAATAGTGATATTTTTCTATTAGAAGTTAAAGCAATTAGTTCTTTACAACATTGGCTACGTACTCAAATCAACTGATTCCTGGGTTTCCCCTCAATCCAAGTAAATTAGGCAGAGAGCAAAACTAAGGAACAGTATTTTCAAAGAGGACCAGGATTGACAATGACTGGTATTCAAATAGCTGTGAATTTGTGCAAATGTAGCAGAAGACAGCAAAGGGTTCTGGATATGCCAATTATTATTTATTTTTATTATACTTTAAGTTCTAGGGTACATGTGCACAATGTGCAGGTTTGTTACATATGTATACATGTGCCATGTTGGTGTGCTGCAGCCATTAACTCGTCATTTACATTAGGCACATCTCCTAATGCTATCCCTGCCCCCTCCTCCCACCCCACGACAGGCTCTGGTGTGTCGTGTTCCCCACCCTGTGTCCAGGTGTTCTCATTGTTCAATTTGCACCTATGAGTGAGGATATGCGGTGTTTGGTTTTCTGTCCTTGCGATAGTTTGCTCAGAATGATGGTTTCCAGCTTCTAGAACTGGAAATACCATTTGACCCAGCCATCCCATTACTGGATATATACCCAAAGGATTATAAATCATGCTGCTATAAAGACACATGCACACATATGTTTATTGCGGCACTATTCACAATAGCAAAGACTTGGAACCAACCCAAATGTCCATCCATGATAGACTGGATTAAGAAAATGTGGCACATATACACCATGGGAATACTATGCAGACATAAAAATGTATGAGTTCATGTCCGCTGTAGGGACATGGATGAAGCTGGATATGCCAATTATTATTAAAATAATTTTTGGGTTAAGCTGATTTTTACTTTTCTGAAAGAAAGATCCAAACACAATGCCTATAATAAATCTTAGAAATTGTCTGTCTCCATTGGTGAGATTAGTCAGTATAAACACTAACATATATAAATAAAACCAAACAACAGTTACTCTTTTCCATAATGTTATGCTTTTGTGTTCAATGAAATATTTAATTTAATTACTAAATTTCTAGCATTTCTCTGAAGGATAAAACAAATAAGCAAACAAACAAATTAACAAGAAAAACCCAAAATAACTTCAATGAATTAAAACTGTCTAGTGCTACCTTTCCTGTAATTATCGTCACCAAATAAAGTGCCTATTGGACAGAGATGGCTGGTTCACTGCAATCTCCATTGACCCTTTCGCCATCAGTAAAAATGTCCTCTAATGCTTAGCCGGACACATGATCACCAGGAATAAATGCTATATTCCCAATCTTTTCTTAACATAGGGCATGACACATGTGACCAATTTCTGACCTATGTTGTGTAAGGGGAAGTAACGCGTGTAACTTCTGAGAAGCTGACTTACATGCCGGGGGCATGTCCTATCTCTGTGCTTTCTTCCTTCTTGGAAAGGCAGCTCTGATGGCTAGATCTGGGGCAGCCATGGGGCAACATGACAAGCAGCAGTACTTGGAGGTGCAAAGCAACAAGATAATAGCCATCTGGATTTCTGATGATCATGAAGACATCATATCTGAACTGGGGTGTCTGCATATCCCTGAGAGGCAAAAAATGTCTATATTGTTTCCGTGAGTTCTTAGCCTACACTGCACATACGAGTTATCAGAGAACTTTCAAAATTTATCAAATGCCCAGTTCTATTAAGGTATCTGGAAACTTATTCTTGGCCTATAATTTTCCACTGGGTCAACTATAACCCAGGTTTATCTGTCTTCTATATCCAGAGACTGTACCCTGCTCCTATGCAGTCTTGCTCTCTCCATAGCTTCATATGTGCAGCAGAACTCACCCTCTGCCTTCCATAACCAGGAGTGGGGCGCTACCTTCCCTCACCTGACTCCTGTGCTGCAGAAACTTGCTAAGAAACACGGAGCATATGTTTCAGACTCAGAATAAAATTATTTTTACAGTCACCAAGTTTTAGAGGTTCTGATTTAGTGTATCTGGGTGTGTCCAGGGTACCAGTGTGCTCCCTTCTCACTCAAATGAAAATTACTGGAACATGATGTTATTTGGTATTCAGTTACACAAAGCTGAGTGTAACTGATTGGTTAATAGTAAAAGTTTTGATTTCAGTAAAATAGTTGAATTATTCTAAACCATAACTTTGTAGCTACATGATTTGGGTGAGATGATTTTTTTTTTTTTTTTTGAGAAGGACTCTCGCTCTGTCACCCAGACTAGAGGGCAGTGGTGTGATCTTGGCTCACTGCAACCTCCTCCTCATGGGTTCAAGTGATTCTCCTGCCTCAGCCCCCCGAGTAGCTGGGATTACAGGTGTGCACCACCATGCCGGACCGGTTTTGTACTTTAGTAGAGATGAGGTTTCACCATGTTGGCCAGGCTGGTCTCAAACTCCTGATCTCAGGCGATCCACCTGCTTTGGACCCCCAAAGTGCTGGGATTACATGAGTTAGCCACCACACCCTGCCTGAGATGATGTTTTTGAGCCACAGTATTCCCATCAGTAAACCGGACATACTAATTGTAATTTCAGGTATTTTTGTGACACATATATTGTTGAAATTATTATTATTAAATTACTGACTTTAATAATACATTCTTAAATTAGTTATTATTATAATAACATAATTAATATTGAAAGCAGTTTATAAACTTGCGTGGTGCTAGGGGGCACTACAATGTAAAGGAATTTATGTAATAAAAGTAAAGATGCAACGTTTGATTTTATTTTTCATGTTTTGTAATGCAAAAATTAACTGTCCTTTTATTTAAATTACAGCACATGCAAATTAACTTTTAGGTATATAATTATTCTGAATTATTTCAGAAAACTATTATGGTCTCATCACTGGATTAAAAAATGTAATAATATTCTCAGTTTAAAGAAAATGCACAGGTTTTAAATCCTCTGTGATAAGGGCCCATGAACTTGGAGCTGCTGATTTTTTTTTTTTTTTAATTTGCAGGGTTTTTACATAACAAATTATCAGAAACCAAAGCACCCAGATATCAGACTATGAATAGAAAACATCTTTCCTGAACAAGTACAGGCTTTATTACTTAATTGTATTTACACTGATGAGTGCACACAAAGAAAAATCAATTTGTGGGAGTTTATTTCATTGGTATTGAAATTGTATCTTCCTTGAAAAACTTGGCACACAGTGCCTAGTTTGTCTCCCAGTTCATTATATTATTATTTTACTATATTCTGTGCTGTTATGTAGTTTTATATGGGCTCACTAGTTGAGTGTTCAAAATTGCTTTTCTAAACTATAGAATATTAACTTCCAGTATTTACCAAAAAAAGTTATTTATTAAAAAAATCACAATAAAAGGGCATAAAATAAATATAAATACTCAACATTTTCAAGGTTCTTGTGGAATCATTCTGAAAGCATTAAAAGGAGAGGCTGGAAATCTGCGTTTATAATATTGGTCATTTCCCTACCTACTTAATAGTAACATTAAAGCTTCCTCAGTATGCTTTCTGAAACAAGTAAAAATGTTCTTTTACCTTAACTTATACTGTGGAAAATCTCAAAGGAATGCTAGAAAACCATTCCAATGTACTCACCCAAACAACACAAAATACCCACACCTTCTCCAATTCAAGCAATCATTTAATTAATCGAAAGAGCTGAGATGCACTCCCTCTCTACCTCATAAGGGCTTCCATCATGAACTTGATTGTGTCCTAAATTCAGTCCTCCAGGAGAAGCTCATCACCCTCCCCATGTCCTGAATGTCAGAATCCAAAGCTGGAAACTGCATCCTACTTAATCTTTATGTTTTTTGAAAAAGTTTATCTTTCTTCCCGGGAATAAAAACATCTATTCTCTGAGGCACATGTAAGCATTTATCCTTCAGTATAATGAACTTTTTTAGTCATATTGTTAATGACAAGCTTACATAAATTTTTTTCTGCTCCCACCTTCAAAGCTCCAAGCCCTGTATTCTTACAGGATGATATTCATAAACTATTCGACCTTAGCTTCCCTCCACTTAAGCCTTTCTTGCTCAGAATCACTCCTTTTATTAGTTATCTGTTGATGCTTAACATATTACCTCCAAAACTTAGTGGATTAAAACAACAAACATTCATTATGCCAACTTCTCTGGGTCAAGAACTATATCAGAATTAGTAAGGCCCTCTAGCTCAAGGACTCTCATAAGGCTGCCATCATTTAAAAGCCTTACTTAGGGAAGATTCACTTCTAAGATTAATCATGTGGCTGGGGGCAGTCCCCAGGTCCTTCCTTGCTGGCTGTGACTGGTGACACTGGCTCCGTGCTATGTGGACTTCTTAATAGGCAGCGCCCAACATAGAAGTCAGCTTCCCTTACAATGAAAGAGAGAGAGAGGATTCCCAAGACAGAAGCCACAGTCTTTGTGCAATCTAATGTTGGAAGTGATATCCATCACTTCTGCCACAGTCTATTTGATAGTGAAGTGAGATAAATTCAACTAGGACAACAGAGTAGAAGATTCCTCAAGGAGTTACCTCTACCAGGGGTACAAGTGACATGGAGCAATTTTAGAGGCTGCTTACCAAACCCACGAAATGTATAATGACAAAACATGATATTCCTCTTAAATGACTAAATAAGCACACCACTCTTTGATCAATCTCCTGTCTGTTCAGTGTGGCAACAATTCCCACTGCAGCTGTTCTCCTGCCTCACTAAGACTTTCAATCCACTGGTGCCTCAGCCTTTGCCTATAGCATTATGATCCTCCTGCGGTCAGTTACTCCCACAAGCAAACTAACAATGGCTCTTCTCAACACTGGCTTTATGTTAGAATTGCCTGAGGAGGTTCCAAAGATACATATGAGTGCCTTGGCCCCAATTGAGATTGGCTGACCCAGTGTCTCTGGGACCTGGCATTCTATTATGATACTAATATGCAGCAATAGTTGGGAATCGATATTGTAGATTCAATTACTGAATATTTTAAAATGTAATTGCCAGTAACATAAAACCAGAATTGACATACTGCTTCCCTTGGGCTAAATACAATCCATCACCTATTTTTTAAATAAATTCTTATTGGAACGCAGCCACATTTTCTTATTGTCCATGGTTGCTTTTGCAGAACATGGGAGAACTGAGTACTTCCTACAGAGACAATATGGCTCACAAAATAAAAATATTTACTATCTGGCCCTTTGCTTAAAAAAAATTACTGAGTTTTGACCTATCCCCTTTCACATCTTCATTTTTCTCTCTCTCTTTCTCTCTCTCTCTCTCTCTCCCTCGGTTGCTTTTGGTTTTGTCCTTTTTAGAAGCACATTGCAACCTCTTCTCTAGATGAACTCAACTATCTGATTTCTGCATATTTCTCAGTCCATGACTGCTGCTGAAGAATGCCATGCAAGAAAACAAACTGATAATATTTTAAGACGATGATCACCATTGGAAACCGGGTTTTCAATTGTGCCTGACATAACTTTTTCAATCTCTACAATCCTCTAATTTCTGACACTCTCTTCTCCCTTCTCACTTCTCTCTCTCTGCAGATGACTTTGCTACTGCAACACAGAGAAAATATAAGTCTTTACACTCATAGTCTTTCAACTACCTGGCACTAAATCAATATACCTGTCTCCATTTGCAACTATTATCTTTCTCCCTGATCCTGTCAAGATGATCTTACTCTTTGTTGTAGGCTACTTTCCTCCTCTGACTTCAGAATTAGTTCTCACCTGACATTAAGAGGAAATTTACATTGTTACCAATTTCTCTACTGAAAATCCAACTTTTTATTTCCACGTAGATGCTTCCCATCGTGGTTTCCATGAACTTTATTGTCTCAATGATTGTCATTTTAGATCTATAACTCTTTTTCTGAGCTTTGGGTCTATATAAGCCAAATTTCTGCTCAACGGAGCAACCATATCCCCACTTTAATTGGACAAGTCTCTCCAGAAAATAAATCTCCTATTTCCTGTTGTGTTAAATGAAGAATAATTACTAAGGTATTCAGTAATGATAAAGAATCTGGGAATTTAACTGTTCTTGATATGAAATTTCAAACTACACACTTTTTTTTTGGGGGAAGCCAAACCCACCTCCAGCATTTTATTCCCACACATGATAAGCTTGTCCAAGGTGTGTGTGGTTTGGATGACTTTATATTTTGTTAGCTTTCCTCTTCCCTCTACATATGGACACTATCTTTTGTCAAAAGGAAACGTGTACACTGGATGCTTGTTAAAAATAGCAAGGAAGACTATTCAGGACTATAGCAATGGGGGAATAATATAGCTATAGTAGAGAGAGATTGAACTAAAATTTCTCCCAGCATGGAGCTGGAAATTTATAAGCAAAGAGCTGAGGGAGTGAGTCAGTGGATAGAAACTAATTAGATATTAAGGGTGGCGGGGGGTGGGGTGGCGGGGAGCGGGGTTCTTGCTAAACTGCATTATTGTTAAAGGCATGCCAAAGTGATAAGATATCAAGGGCGAAGTGATTCTCAGTGAACTGGCTTAGCAGGCGTCTTTGTTAAACTGGGCCTGAGAAGAGGGACTGGAGAAGAATGATTAAACTTTGGTCAAGATGGGAATCTGTCAGTTTTGGCCTTCTCTAATCTATGTGGTTACGCTGCTCGAGAGCTTGCTAAGATGTATTCAAGAAGGCTAGTGTATTAGCTTGTTCTCACACTGCTGCTATAAAGAAACACTTGAGATGGGGTAATTTATAAAGCAAAGAAGTTTAATTGGCTCGCAGTTCTGCAGGCTGAACAGGAAGCATAGCAGCATCTGCTTCTGGGGAGGCTAAAGGGAGATTTTACTCATGGCAGAAGGCAAAGTGGAAGCACGAATCTTGCAAGGCAGAAGCAGGACTGAGAGGAAGAGAAAAGGTGCCACACACTTTCACCAACCATATCTCATGAGGATGCTATCATGATACAGCATCAAAGGGGGAAATCTGCCCCCATGATCCAGTCACCTCCCACAAGACCCCACCTCCAACACTGGGGATTACAATTCGGCATGAGATTTGGTAAGGGACACAGATCCAAATCATATCAGCTAGTAATAAAGTGTATTAAGATTTAGGAGTTGGGCCGGGCGCGGTGGCTCACGCCTGTAATCCCAGCACTTTGGGAGGCCGAGGCGGGCGGATCACGAGGTCAGGAGATCGAGACCATCCCGGCTAAAACGGTGAAACCCCGTCTCTACTAAAAATACAAAAAAAAAAAAAAAATTAGCCGGGCGTAGTGGCGGGCGCCTGTAGTCCCAGCTACTTGGGAGGCTGAGGCAGGATAATGGCGTGAACCCGGGAGGCGGAGCTTGCAGTGAGCCGAGATCCCGCCACTGCACTCCAGCCTGGGCGACAGAGCGAGACTCCGTCTCAAAAAAAAAAAAAAAAAAAAAAAAAAAAGATTTAGGAGTTGATATGGTTTGGCTGTGTCCCCACTCAAAATCTCATGGTGAATTGTAAACCCCATAATCCCCACATGTCAAGGGAGAGACCAGGTGGAGGTAATTGAATCATGGAGGTGGTTTCTCCCAAGCTGTTCTCATGACAGTGAGTGAGTTCTCTCGAGATCTAATGGTTTTACAACTGTTCGGCAAGTTCCTCCTTCCATCCTTCTTTTTCCTGCCATTTTGTGAAGAAAGTGCCTGCCTCCCTTTCATCTTCCACTACGATTGTAAGTTTCCTGAGGCCTCCCCAGTCATAGGGAACTGTGAGTCAATTAAACCTCTTTCTTTAATAAATTACTCAGTCTCAGGTATTTTCATATAGGAATGTGAGAAAGGACTAATACAGGAATCTTCAAGGACATCCCATCCAAATTAAAAGTTGTGTATCACTTGCTTCTTTGACCTCATCTACTGTATTAATTACATTTATATGTATATATACACACACACACATATGCAAACATATATATATATATCAGCTTTACTAAATGGTCTCTATATTCTCAGTTTTATTGTTTCATTAGGAAAAGAAATTGGCTGGGATATTGGTAACAGTATATTTCTGCTTATGCTGTAATACCCAAGTTGAAACATTTGATAGAAATTGATTGATGCTTGTTACCTGATGTTTTAAAATAAGGGCTAAATAGTTATATATCTCAATATTATCGTTATCCTGGATGTGACAGGGTACAGATGTGACAATGCATGTTTTTATAGTGTGTTCTACTGGTGATTCAAATAACTAAGGTATTGCCATTGGCAACATAATTTTTGTAAATATTGAAAGACTCTGGGAAGTTTCTACAATAAAAAGACTTTTTCTCTTCAATTTCCGTAGTGGTTGCATTCTGAAAAATTTAGTTTGTATTAAGCCATTCAAAGTATTTACATGTAAAATATTCATTTCTTGACTAAATAATTACAGATGATCACTTACGTGGCTATCCATTGGGGCATTTGATGGGAATATTTTTTACAATGTAGGATCGCAGGATATCTAGTATTGTTTGTCCTCACATTGGAAATACAATTACTGCCTTCTGATCGTTTTGACAATGGAGACACTCAAGCATTTCTAAACAGAAAAAGCTGGTACAAGCACACTTGAAGCACAATACATCTGAAAGGCACATGAAGAGTTCAATAAAATGTTTAACAACTGAAAAGACTGCAGAAATAAATTTAAGTATTCTGTCTATACTAAAATCCAAATGTAAATTATATTAGAGTTGCAGCTATTTAATACGCTATTTCAGCATTCACATGCTATTTTCATTTTCTATTCAGATGTTTTTTCCACTGCCAGACACTTTCTAACAAGTCCTTCAAACCCTCTTTATAATAACTTATGAAAATATTTGTTACATTATGCTCAATGATTTCCTCAATTAAAATGATATATAAAATAAGAACAAGTGAGAGGAAAAAAACATAGTTTGTGCATCTGTTTTGTGATAAATATAGTAGTTAGATCTATTTTATATAAATTTTCTCATTAAACCCACATCAAACTTTTTCTCCTGTATTTTTTAAATGGAAAATGTGAGGTTGATAGGAGTTAATTAACTCTACTAATAGCTGACGGAAATGAAACTATCATTACTGAGAACTATGGTTGGTTTTTACAATTATTTCATTTTTTGTTGGTTTGTTTTTGTTTTTGTTTTTTGAGATGGAGTTTCGTTCTTGTTGCCCAAGCTGGAGTGCAATGGCGTGATCTCAGCTCACTGCAACCTCTGCCTCTTGGATTCAAGTGATTCTCCTGCCTCAGCCTCCTGAGTAGCTGGGATTACAGGCACGTGCCACCACGCCCAGCTAATTTTGTATTTTTGGTAGAAATGGGGTTTCTCCATGTTTGTCAGGCTGGTCTCGAACTCCCAACCTCAGGTGATCCACCCACCTCCGCCTCCTAACGTGCTGGGATTACGGGTATGAACCAGCATGCCCGGCCAATCTATATCTTTTAAGTGTGAAATGCTTTCAGAAAAATATTTCAACCAAAAGGGAGAAATGTGGAAGTTGTGAGCACCAAAATGGAGTCACTTACATCAAACCATAAAAAAATGAAGCTGGGAGGCCATGAAAGAGGGGCCTTCATGTACATATGTCTATAATAAGAACTGCTGCAATGGTTCTCTCAAAAACCACAAAAATGTTAGATATGATAATTCTATGAAGACATCTCTCCAGCAACAGCCAATATTATCAATGAGTATTTGCCAACTCTTGTAACAAGCTTCTCTGGCCCATGAGGTTTATTACAAAACTTACATAAAATTTCTCTTTTAAGATTTTTGCCTTCCTGATATGGTTTAGATTTGTGTCCCCACCCAAATCTCATGTCGAATTGTAATCCCCAATGTTGGAGGAGGGGCTTGGTGAGAGGCGATTGGATCATGGGGGTGGATTTCCTCCTTGCTGTTCTTGTGATAGTGAGTTCTCATGAGACCTGCTTGTTGAAAAGTGTGTGGTATTTCCCCTTTGCCCTCTTCCCCCTGCTTCGGCCATGTAAGACGTGCCTCCTTCCTTTTTGCCTTCTGCCATCATTGTAAGTTTCCTGAGGCCTCCTCCAATCATGTTTCCTGTACAGCCTATGAAATCATGAGTCAATTAAACCTCTTTTCTTTATAAATTACCAAGTCTCAGGTAGTTCTTTGTGCTAGAACAAACTAATACAGTCCCTCAGCTTCTTTGGTGCCTAAGGTCCACCATAGCATGTGTATTTCAAATTGCAATTTACTGCTATTTCCTGAATACACTCCACTCTTTATTTTAGAGAGTCAGTATCTCTGTTGTTTAAGTTGACATAATCTAATGTCAGAAGCAAGATGCAAAGGCTCCAAGCCTTCTTTGTTACTTACAGTTACAGCACTGTTATCCAAACAGTAACAAAGAAAGCCTTTGGAAGGCTTTCAAGTATCTGGCGATACTTGAAATTGTGTATGATACTCACCTGAGCCTATTGTGATCTTCACTTGTACAAGTTGTCTTTATGCTGCGAGATAAGTCCTCTCTTGGTTTGAGCTCCCACCTTTTCAGTGAACTCTTACATTTTGGGGGATCTGCTCTTGTAAAGGACATCCTTTCTGGTGAGTATTCTTTTGGTTTAATTTTTGGTTTGGTTATTTGTGCATGAATTTAATCTCATTAGGAAACAAGTTAAGTTGAATAGACCAACTAGTGAATTAATCCGTCACCAAAATATATGTTTTTGGCATTTACCTGTTTATTTTGAAACTCTTTGTAAGAAATGTAAACCTGTAATGATAATCTCTGCTTTGTAAGGATATCTCCCTCTCTGACACCTAAAACACTAGATGCTTTCACAAAGCAAAAGGAAGAGACCTAAATCTATCTATCTGTGTAAACTCACCCTTGACCATTTCATTTTGAAGGCTTCCTATATATGCTTTTTTTCATCTCAACAAATAGTGGTGTTTAAGTTCTGTACCTTTGAGATTTAAATTTTCTACATTCCTTCACCTAAAAATCATCTCTTTGGAAGTACAAATTTTGGGTGGCCTAACTAACACTTGTTTATGGGCCAATTGAACAGATCATTAAAAGACAGATAGTCTGAAAGAGGGAGTAAAACTACTTGCAAGCCAGGCAAATAACAATTCTTAATGCAAGTTGTAAGTTCTTCCTCTGTCTGTATTTTTCTACGTGTGTGTGTGTGTGTGTGTGCGTATGTACAATTTTTTCTACCAAAATTCATAAACGGCTCTACTTAATTGGCTTACAGAGAAAACATAAGTGTTTAAACTAAGAATTCTCTCAGAAAAACAGAAACTCAATTGCCTTTTGGCTTATGTGATGAAATAATCTTTGGCAGACAAAGCTAGTTTTAAAATTTGTTGGCAAAATAAAAACAAATATTTTCAGAATTGTCAGCATTAATTACAATGTACAGATACAGTTTTTAAACCTAAAGTTACTGGTGAAACAAGCTTGCTATTACTGAGATGTATAATGAATGTCTTAAAGCTATAAATCCACTCATCGTTGTGTTTAAGGAGGAACTGAAGCACAATTGTTAAGAACAAGTGAATTAGGTGAATATACATTGACAAAAGGTTGATAATAAAGTTGTCAGAATTTCAAAAATAATTTAGTGTGACTTGAAATCTTAAAATCATGTTATATTAAATTAAGTAACACTTTACTGATTTAATATTTGAGTCATTTCTAAGGAAAATACTGAAATATCAATTGCTTAACAGAAGTTTAAAATATACGTAATTTGGCATCTTGGTTTCACATGTTATGGAAAAGCTAAACATATTTGGGCCTGTTAATTAAAGGCATAAAAATTATTTTATGAGATGGTGTTCATCTGCAAAATACTAACATGATGCACTTCAAAATGCTTACTAATTTTCACTAGAAATTAAGGTTACTAAGAGTTAATTAAAATTAATATTAGAGTAATTTAAACTAGAAATAATGAAGGGAAACAAATCTGTACGTGAGGGAAGGAAAACACATACAGAAAGTTATAAGTAAGAGGTTGTGTTTTTGTTAAGGGAAAAAGAGAGTATTTTTTGTCTAAAAGTAGAATGTCTTACTGTTCCAAAAAGAAAAAGAGAAAAAATATAGACAAAAACTGAATAAGATAACTGGATGACAAATTTATAGAAAGTTTGTGGAAGATTAATCTTGTGAAAAGAATTTTATGTGTGACCAAGTTGGCTAAAGTTAAAAGGAAATTATTTATAAATATTCTGAAAACTTGAGCATTATTATCAAAAGTACAGGAATGGAAAACTTGAAATTTGTCCCCTGTGCTGAAACAACAAGCTTTTCTTTGAGTATTGACCTGCTCTTAATAGAAAATAGTGAAATGTTTTCTCTACCTTTTAGATAACTGGCCTAATAAACCAAGATTTTTTGTTTATCAAGGTAATTTCTTATGCTTTATGCTCTCTTTTACTAGGTCTTTGATTACTTGAGAAAAGTGAGTGAGGTGGGGCCAAGATGGTTGACTAGAAGCAGCTAGTGTGTGCCACTCTCACAAATAGCAGAAAGAGTGGTGAGACACTAGCTCTTCAACCGGAACATCCAGGTGGACACATAAGGATTCATCAGTGACATAGTGTGACCTTCGGATCACGGAGAAGAGTGAGACAGATCAACCATTCACCCAGGAGTGGCACAGACCCAGGGGAATCCCCCTACAAGAAAATGGTGAGTGAGTGAGAGTCCCGTGGGATGCATATTTCTGCCACGAACCTTTGAATCCCTGGGCTCAGGAGATACCCCAGCTGGGGTCTCCAGACCAAAACAGAGAGCCATGTGGAGTCTGGGTAGAGCTGCTTCTTAGGTAGGTGTGGAGTCCCAGTAGCATTTGTTCCCTGGGTACCCCAAAACCAGGGGCTGCAGCTCCAGCAATTGGGAAGGCCAAGTTTTCTTGCACGCTCCCCAGAAAAGGGGCCAAGTCCATGGGGCTGAGCAGTGATAGACTGCAGACCTCACCACCACTGAACCTTGTAGGATAAGGCCCACTAGCCTGGGATGCTAGTGAGGCCACCCTAGTCCTCCTGAGTTCTCCAGCTGGGAGCAGCTCTACACTTCTCCGGCATGCAGCTCCCAAAGAGAGAGGCAGTCCACCTTTTTGCTGTCTCGCAACCCTCCCTCCTGCTGCTCTCAGGCTTGGGAGGGTGCACAGCAATTAGGGACTATCACAGAACCCCAGCACAGTGCATCTGGTGAACTTAAAAAAATCAACAAGTGAAAAACAAACAATCCCATTTAAACGTACACAAAGTACATGAACGGACACTTTCAAAGGAGGGCATACATGTGGCCAGAAAGCATATGACAAAATGCTCAACATCACTAATCATTAGAGAAATGCAAATCAAAACCACAATGAGATACCATCTCACACCAATGAGAATGGCTATTATTAAAAACTCAAAAAATAAGAGATGCTAGTGAGGTTGTGGAGAAAAGGGAATGATTATACAGTGATGGTGGGAATGTAAGGTAGTTCAGCCATTGTGGAAAGCAGTGTGGCCATTTCTCAAAGAACTCAAAGCAGAAGTGCCATTCAACTCATCAATCCTACTATTGAGTATATACCAAAAGAAATACAAATCATTCTACCATAAAGACACATGCACGTGTATGTTCATTGCAGCACTTTTCACAATAGCAAAGACATGGAATCAACCTAAATGCCCATCAGTGGTAGACTGGATGAAGAAATGTGGTAGATATACAACATGGAATACTATGCAGCCATAAAAAGAATGAGATCATCTCTTTTCCAGCAACATGAGTGGAGCTGGAGGCCATTATCCTAGAAAACCCAATACCATATGTTCTCACTTATAAGGGGAGCTAAACATTGAGTACATATGGACACAAATGGAACAACAGACACTGGGCCTACTTTAGAGTGGAGGGAGGAAGGAGGATGAAAATTTAAAAATTACCTACTGGGTACTATGCTTATTATCTGGGTTATGAAATAATCTACACACCAAACCCCGTGACACACAATTTACCCATATAAATGCGTAAGTAACCCACATGTGTACCCCTGAACCTAAAATAAAAGTTAAAAAAAGAGAAAAGTAAATGTTCTCAGTATTAAAAAGCTATGTTTTTGTTGACAATTATGTAAATTTCTACATTTATTTTTTGAAATCTTTTAATTTTCATTTTGGTTACCTGTTATCGTACTCTGATAAAGTGTTTTAAACTGTTTGATGTTTTTGACAAACTTCCCAAAATAATATTTTAAATTAACTCTTTTTGCCCTCAAGTTAATTTTGATATTTCTCATTTGGACCCCTGGAAAGATCAAAGAATGTGTATCTCACATTGTAAAGAGATATATTAAACTAATGAGACTTACTTGATATATTAAATTATATAGGGAGTATTGTCAAATACTAAGTGGTGCTAAACCTTCTTTAAGTTGTATTTCAGAATGTTATTGATATGTGTTACAAAATTATATTGAATTCTTCAAAATCTGATATGTTATCGGTCATAATCTTGGTTATTATCTTCAAGTTTTGTATGCCACAGAAATAAACAAATTTCTTTGTCAATTACATTATTATTATAATAAACTCCATGAGATTTTTAACCATGGCCACTCTAAGTCTGTCATCCACAGGGACCGACTGCTTTCATTCTTTTCCAAAAGCATTTGCCATCAGCTACAATAAAAAATTGCTTCTTCTCTGAAACTGATGACCCATTAAGGTTTAACCCATATACTCCTCTATATACCTCTACAGCCTCCCCAAATCAAGTTGATATATTCCCCTAGCAGTCTGTGCAATGGAGACCAACACTACATTCTTTTAGATTGTTTTAAATTACATTTTTGAACTTCCAGTTTATTACATACCAAGAGTTGATTACAACCTCCTTGTTTCATAAGTGGAAGCTATGTTAGGGTTGGATGTGGGTGCCATAATTTCTTCAAGGATCCTGGACAGAGACCCACATCAGGATCAGAAACCCTACGATAGCATTGCAGATCTCATGGCTCACTAATCCTTGAAGATTATAATTTTCATCCTACTATCAGTTGCACTTTCTGTCACTTTTACTGCATTAAGTCTCCCGGTATCAAACAGAGCTCTGTGGTGTCACTGACTGAGGAATGGAATAGAGATGTCCACAAGGGGTCTTGATATCATGACTGCACAGAGATGTGAAAGGAGAGACCACTTCCTCACCACCCAGCTACTTCACTTCTCTCCCGGTATCAGCCCTATAGTCGGACCTAGGCTTTCAGAAGTGTAAGTGTGCAAACAAGTTTCGGTTGGACTTTAAGAGGACACTTTGTCATAGAAGAAAATCCAGTATCTCTAAGCTGGTTTTCTTTTCAGGAAAACATCCTGAGGGACCAGTAAGCAGGGAGATCCTTTTTCTAGTTTGCCTGTAGAGTTAGGAAGACAGTTGATTTTTCAGTCTTTTACAGGATGCTTAAACAAAGCTGTGTAATTACATAAGGTGGATCTTTATCTTGCCTAAGAAGATAAAGTGGGAATCTTCACTCCGCCAGGGCAAATTTCCAAGGAGCTCATTTATTCCATGTCTTTCAAACTTTCATGAGATACATTTCTCTTTCACATTGTTGCTGATTTCCAAACAGCTGTCAGCTAGTTTTTTCCTCCCCCTTTCCTATTCTTCACTATTTTGATAGCAAAGCTCATAGAATTAGAGGACTTAGAAGATGCTTTGTAAACATTGCCACAAAGGAACTGCTGAAATGATTCACAGGAAGACTGGTCAGTTGGGAGAAAGATCCTAAAGATGTTACACTGGTTTTCAACAACATGCTTAGAGAATTCTTGAAGCAGATAGGTGTCAACCCAGTGAAAACAACATTTTGATTTATTTTTTTTTTTAAGTTTATGGTGATTGTGTCGGTTTCTAAAATAAGCAAATATTCAAGTCAAGAGATGTTTTGTTTTTTCTTCTGCCAAGAATGGGGTTAGGGGAGCAAAGACACAATTTGGGAAAGGACATATGTGCTATTATAGGGATCACCTTTAAGTTTCTGGGAAGGAATGGGCACGGGTGAGTAGGTTGGCTCAACATTGTCCTGCACTGCTTATTAGGACCTGAGACGTGCAAGGGAAATGTGGGTGACATCAGGGCACCCAGGGCACAGCCCCACTAACTGCTGTGCTGAGTTTCTGTAGCCTGCCACGTTTCCCTTGGTGAAGTAAATGAAGATCAAGGAGTCATTTTATGATGTCCTGGTGCTGAGAATAATAAATGTCTTGTTACAAACAGATGTAACAATGGTTTTTTTCTGGATTATTATCAGGGTGGTCAGCTCTGGGTTAAGCACCCACATCCAATTTGTACAATAATATTGATACATAGGGCTACGCTTATTACTGCTCAAGCATTCTGTTTTAATAATTGTGTTTTACTTCTAAAGGTTAAATAAAAGCAAAAAATGGGGCTAAACTATCAAACTGTTCCCCTATTTGTTTTCTCCAGTGTACAACATATATATGTATATATTTTATTTTATTGAAGATGCAGTAGGATACCTGCCATTTAAGAAAATAAATAGAAAATTTAAAATCCCAACAAATGAGAAAAAGAAATTCAGTACCCAAGAATAGGGCTGGTCCAGCACCACCCCGAAGTAGGCTGTGGTTTATGGAGTGAAGAGCCTTGCTCCCTTTACATTCGCTCATGCTCCCACACAAGGCTAGCAGTAGAAATGCTTGAATTCTGCTTGGCTTGCCAAGGGGACTCAGGAGTCAACCAAGGGAACTATTTGGCTCCACGAGGAATGGACACCTCAGGATGCTTCCTGAACAGGGCCTAGTCAGGAAGTAGCCTGGATGTGCATAGTCATGGTCACCTTATGAAAATGTGTGGCAGGTGGCTCTCGGGAAAAACACCAAGCCTGGATCATCTGTGTGGCAGCTTTGCCTGGGGAGGTAACAGCTCCAAATTGAAACTGAACTGCATCCTACATGCTTTACCAAAGCAGTGATGAGAGTGATCAGTGCATGTGGTGTGAGTGGTAGGTTTAAAAAAAAGGGAATGTTTTGTTTTTTTTTTTTTTTTTGAGACGGAGTCTCGCTCTGTCGCCCAGGCTGGAGTGCAGTGGCGGGATCTCGGCTCACTGCAAGCTCCGCCTCCCGGGTTCACGCCATTCTCCTGCCTCAGCCTCCCAAGTAGCTGGGACTACAGGCGCCCGCCACTACGCCCGGCTAATTAAAAAAAAGGGAATGTTTTACGCTCAGTGTTTCCTCTGTCTTTGGGCTACTCAATCTGGACAATAGGTAACCATTCTTTTCAAGGAATCAACCCAACTTTGCTGGCTTGGTTTGTGGTTTGTTTCATCCCTAGCTATGAGCATGCTTTGGTCTATAAACGTGGCTTGTCTCATAATACATTCCCTTTCTGTAATTTTTTAAATTTTTTATTTCCATAGGTTTTTGGAGAACATGAGGTATTTGGTTACATGAGTAAGTTCTTTAGTGGTGATTTGTGAGATTTTGGTGCACACATCACCCGAGCAGTATACACTGAACTCAATTTGTAGTCTTTTACCCCTCATGCCTTTCCCACTCTTTCCCTTGAGTCCCCAAAGTCCACTGTATCATTCTTATGCCTTTGCATCTTCATAGCTTAGCTCCCACTTAAGAGTGAGAACATGCAATGTTTGGTTTTCCATTCCTGAGATACTTCACTTAGAATAATAGTCTCCAATCCCATCCAGGTTATTATGAATGCCATTAATTCATTCCTTTTTATGGCTGAGTAGTATTCCATCACATATATGTATTTATGCATATATATATATACATATGCATATATATATATACATATGCATATATATATACATATACATATATATATACATATGCATATATATATACATATACATACACACACACACACACACACACACACACATAAATATATACCACAGTTTATTCACTCATTGATTCACGGGCATTTAGGCTGGTTCCACATTTTTGCAATTGCTAATTGTGCTGTTATAAACGTGCATGTGCAAGTATCTTTTTTGTGTAATGACTTCTTTTCCTCTGGGTAGATAACCAGTAAGATTGCTGGATCAAATGGTAGTTCTACTTTTATGAATTGTCCTTGTTTTTCTTTAAAAGTTAATACTTTTGATCACTATAGTTTGTTAGTGTTGGATTGTTTCCACTTTGAAATTTCTAAACTTTTTCCCTTCATAATGTTAAAACAAGTTATGTTAGATGCCCTTTCAACATGAAAGGTCTGTAGTTAAGATATTACATATATTTTATTGTTTATAATAAAAATCTAGACATAAGAAGTGCCAAGTGTTAATTATAATATTTTGCACAGTATCTTTTTTCCCATGATGTGTTAATATCTACAATTTCATTAAATGTTGATGTTATTCTCTATTGAGATTCAGAAGCCTAGGGAGCTATGTGTTCATTTTGGTTATTTTTGTTGTTATTTCCCTGAAGCAAAAGACTACATGGCCTTCAGTGCAACAACCTCAGTCCAATTCTGAAGTTTATTATACTTGCTTGCCTCTTGGCTATTTAACTTCTGAGTGCAAATCATTGAACTCCCTAATGAAGTATTGTAGAGAATAAATTAAAATGAATAAAGAAAAATACTTCCTCTTCAAGGAGGTTCATGAAAAGGACTCTAACAAGTATGCTGGAATTTAGATTTCTTATGAGTTTAAGATTATACCACTGGACTGGGAAAGAATTTCCAGGACTCTAATGAAGAAACGATGGCTTCTTAAAACATCTAACCCAGATCAAGTAGAATAAGTTTAATGAATGGGACTAAACAAACTGATGGCAATATTTTCGAGTGACTTTTTGTTTAACATTTTGCTGTTTTTTTTAAATTTTTTGTTTTCCAGATTTGAGAAAACTTTTAAAAAGCTATCTATAGCATACAGCAATTTGGTAAAGTATACTTTTATAAATAAAAATGGAAATATTTATTTTTTCTTCCTACCTGCGGCTGCAGTCTTCAGAGAGCTCTTATTGATATTTTTATTTTATGGCAACATAGTTATTTGCATTAATTCAATAAAAATCTATTCTCTTTGTAACAGGATAGAATTACAAACATTGGTTATATTATAAATGGTTTGACTTGAATGTGATATTTGAGACTATGCACAGGATGCCTAGCTTCAAGGATTCCCAAGCTCACAGTGAGTGAATAAACATTTTTACCTCTTGACAGGCCAGGAACCTCCAGATATATTGGAGACCTCAAGAAGAGAGAAATTCATGCAGATTTTTAGATACTGCAGCCAAAGTCTGATGTTCGCCCTCCTTTGACTTCTGACCCTTGAAAGGCTTTTAAAAGTCTAATCTGAGATTTCTTATCAAAAGTTCCGTCAAAATAAACTTAAAAACAGCCCATGTTTCATCCCTTTTCTTGCTATACTGTTGTCAATAATCATGCCAAGTTTAATGAGACTAAACTTATTCAGCAGACAAATTAGTCTTACTCTGATTATCTTTAGTAGAAATAGGGATGATTGTACAGAGAAAAATTATGTTTCTGAAGAAAAACTGCAGTACACCTGTTAGTAGATTGTAGTTTTCTTTGTTGTTTTCAAGTTTTTGTCATCTATCTCTAAATTAGACAGGGCACTTAATTATTCTAATTTCCTCCAACGTCTGGCTACGATTCTCCAACTAAGAACATAAACTGCCTTGTTCCTAAAGTCCTATAAGTTGGAGCCAGAAAACTCCATGTAAATTTCAAGAGAGAAATCTCATGGCTATTGTGTGGGCTACAAAGAGAATTGACTAAAATGCCCCATGCTATACCCAGGAACATTCAAACTACAAACCAGAGTAAGAAGTTGATGACATCACAGTGTGGAAAGCTTTTCCCAAGACATTGTAACAAAACTGGACTCTTATCCTTCTTATTTTTTTTTTTTTTCTTGCTTATGCCTACATTTTTCACTTGGCAGAATAACGCTGTGGTTAGAATTTCACATTCAGTAGCTTCCGTAACTGAATGAAGTTTTGGATCTGTCGTGTCAAACCCACATCTTTACATGACCTAAGGGATCCTTTAGTCCACCCAGTGGGTAACTATGGCAACATCCCTAATTTATTTGCCACCTTGGGTTTCGTTGCAGGCTTCACTGCAAAGGCTATTGCTGCCCAGCAGTGCTCATTAAAGTATCTTGCTGAGTAGCCGTAGATAACACAACAGGACAGGATGAGATAACTCTCAATTATCTACTGGTTGAACAAGAATGTCTGTGCCATTGCTAATAACTACATGCTGTACCTGAATATATTTCTCTGGGGAAGTCAAGACCTAATTGCATAAAATAGCAAGACAGGCTTTATGGCTACAACAGATCTCACTCAGTCTCACATAGACTTTTGATTCATTAGTTGGCTGCCTTTGGGTCCATGTTCATAGACAATATTTCATGTTACTATTAATTTTGTACCGCATCATTCTTTTTAAACTTTTTATCTGTTTCCTGTCCAACCTCTGCAGAAATGATGCATCTAACAGAATAACACTGGTCCAGAACTTCCAAATGGTAGTCAATGCCTATGGAACTGACAAAATTGAACTTAGCAATGAACTCCAGGCAGATTTATCCTGAGAGCCACTCCTTCTGAACCTCTTTGTTTCTTAAATGTGACTAAAAGGGTTTTGACATCTGCTCTTAGTTGCTGGCCATTCACCTCTGATGCAGGATCAGACTAACTAGGAAAGGTCCACTCCAGCACCAAGAAACAATCAAAACCTAACTATAGGCTGATTAATCAGCAATGCTTTCAGAAAAAATTCTTGGTCAAAGGGGGGAAATGTTAAAGTTACAAGCAAAGAAGTTGACTCACTGAAGTCAAACCACAACAAAATGGAGCTGGGAGAGTATAAAAGAAGGCCCTTCATGCATGGATGTCTCTAAAAGAACTATTGCAAGGACTCCCTGAAAACTACAAAAATTTTAGATACGACGCTTCTATGAAGACATCTTCCCAGCAATAGCCAGTATCACCGATGAGTATTTGTCCATACCAAGCAATAAGCTTCTGGGGCCAAAGAGGTTTATTTTAAAATAATTTACATGAACTTCACCTTTTTTTTTCTTTATTTCTTCTTCTTCTTCAAAAAACAAACAAAAGTGATATATGTGCAGAACGTGCAGGTTTGTTACATAGGTATACGTATGCCATGGTGGTTTGCTACACTTTTCAACCTATCATCTAAGTTCCCTCCCCTCACCCCGCAACCTCCAACAGGCCCCAGCGTGTGTTGTTTCCTTCTCTGTGTCCATTTGTTCTCAATGTTCGAATCCCACTTACGAATAAGAACATGCGGTATTTGGTTTTCTGTTCCTGTGTTAGTTTGCTGAGGATGATGGCTTCCAGTTTCATCCATGTTTCTGCAAAGGACATGCTCTCATTCCTTTTTTATAGCTGCATAGTATTCCATGGTGTATGTGTACCACATTTTCTTTATCCAGTCTAACAGTGATGGGCATTTGGGTTGGGTCCATGTCTTTGCTATTGTAAATAGTGCTGCAATAAATATATACACGTATGTTCCCTTACAGTAGAATGATTTATATTCCTTTGGGTATATACCTAGTAATGGGATTGCTGGGTCAAAAGGTATTTCTAGTTCTAGATCCTTGAGGAATGCCCATACTGTCTTCCACAATGGTTGAATTAATTCACTTTCCCACCAACAGTGTAAGAGCATTCCCATTTCTCCACATCCTCTCCAGTATTTATTGTTTCCTGACTTTTTAATAATCTCCATTCTAATTGGCGTGAAATGGCATCTCATTGTGGTTTTGATTTGCATTTCTCTGGTGATCAGTGATGTTGAGCTTCTTTTGTATGTTTTTTGGCCACGTAAATGTCTTTTTTTGAGACGTGTCTGTTCATATCCTTTGCCCACTTTTTGATAGCGTTGTTTGTCTTTTTCTTGTAAGCATGTTTAAGTCCCTTGTAAATTCTGGATATTCGATCATTGTCAGATGGGTAGATTGCAAAAATTTTTTCCCAGTCTGTAGGTTGCTTGTTCACTTTGATGATAGTTTTTTTTTTTTTTTGCTGTGCAGAAGCTCTTTAGTTTAATTAGATCCCATTGTCAATTTTGGCTTTTGTTGCAATTGCTTTTGGCATTTTTGTCATGAAGTCTTTGCCCACCCTGCCTATGTCCTGAATGTTGTTGCCTAGGTTTTCTTCTAGGGTTTTTACGGTTTGGGGTTTTACATTTAAGTCTTTAATCCATCTTGAGTTAATTTTTGTATAAGGTGTAAGGAAGGGGTCCAGTTTCAGTTTCCTGCATATGGCTAGCCAGATTTCCCACATTATTACTGAATATGAGATCCTTTCCCATTGCTTGTTTTTGTCAGGTTTGTTGAAGATCAGGTGGTTGTAGACGTGTGGTGTATTTCTGAGGTCTATGTTCACCTTCATTGGTCTATATGTCTGTTTTGGTACCAGTTCCATGCTGTTTTGGTTACTGAGGCCCTGCAGTAATGAAGTCAGGTAGTGTG
Source organism: Homo sapiens (assembly GCF_000001405.40). Taxonomy (NCBI): domain Eukaryota; kingdom Metazoa; phylum Chordata; class Mammalia; order Primates; family Hominidae; genus Homo; species Homo sapiens. The sequence goes on along the minus strand of NW_003315917.2, from coordinate 734,448 downwards.
ATGCCTCCAGTTTTGTTCTTTATGCTTAGGATTGTCTTGGCTATATGGGGTCTTCTTTGATTCCATATGAAATTTCAAATAGGTTTTTCTAATTCTGTGAAGAATGCCAACGGTAGTTTGATGGGGAACTTCACCTTTTACCCTTAAAAAAGCTTCGGCTCCCCCAGCTTTTTCAAATGTGCCTATGGTTCAGTACGGTACACATATCCCAAATTGCAGTTCATTGCTCTTCCCAGATAAACTATTTTGAAAAGTCAGTCTCTCTGCTGTTTATTTTAATAATTTTTAATAGAAGTACATCTTTCTTAAAAGCATAGCAAAAATTTTAAGTACATTCACAATAATAATAATTAGGAAACAAATGATCATTGCTTTGATTTTAAGAATTATTAATTTCTTTAATTTTTCAAGTTGAAATATAGAACATGTTTTATTTAGTTACCAATTTATTTCTGTATTTTTCATGAAACAATTTACTTTGGTAAGAAATTTCAAGGAATCTGTGGCATAAATACATATTTGGTCAATGTTCCTTGACCCAAAGTATTAAGGCTGGGTTGTATTTAATTCAGTGACTAAGTAATTTAGTCAGGTTATTCAATAAATTAATGAGGTAATAATCTATAAATTGTTATAATCTGTAAATCTATAAATCATATGTAAAATTGTATTATAAAAAGCAAATGAGTCTTTCTAACAATAGCTAGTTCCGACAATAAAATAACTTCACTTTTAGTTAGCAAGCCCGTATTACATTTCTAAATATTGAAGTCTGTGCAGTAGTTAATGAACTTTTAGTCAATTATTGAGAAAAAAACTTTTAGTACAGTAGAAGATATAAAAAACATGATTGAGCTCAATTTCTCTTTTTTAAAAAATCACTGATTTCTTGGTCAAACTTTTGCTTCTTTTGGAACTTTTGAACTTTGTGGCCATGTGAAATGGCACTCTGAAACTTCTAGTAGACTCAAATTGAGGTAACTTTCTTGCTCACGACAATTTTATGTCCGGTTTCTAATATAAGCCATTATTTCTAACACATGCCATGGTTCCATGTTTGAACTAATGTTAATACCACCTGCCCCTACATGACTGAGTCTGAGCACATCCCTGGGCCACATCAAGCACCATGGCAGATTAATCATTCCTTATGGTTTTAACAGGCAAGCTGGGGAAAAAAAATAACTGTCTCCTCCAACTTTGGTTATGCGTGAGTTTCTTACCTTTTAATGGTGAAAAATAAACTTATCTGTCATAGGAGAAAATAACATTACACTCATATGGAAGCAGAGGTGAGAAGTGAAGCCTTAGTAGTGATGTCATCGTTGCCAATTACTGAAGCCAGGAAGTTAGGAATCATCAGTCTTTTTCTTTTGAATTAATGTGACAGTAGTCGAGAGAGAGAAAAAAGTAGGCATGCTGTATGTTATTTAGAGGATAAGATCTATAGATTTGAAATTGATTTGGCATAAACCCACAGGAAAGTGAAGAATCAAGCATGTATTCTAAGCTTCTGGCTTGAGCAAGTGAGCAATCAGCAACATCAGCCCTATGACTTACTAGATTTTTACTGAGGTATACTTTGTAATGTAATAGCTGCGAGAAACTGAATATCATTGAAATTTAGAAAAGGTTATGACAATGTCATTGGGTTAATAGATAGCCTTTTCTTACAAAGATTTGTAAAAAATGAGAGGCCCTAGACATTTGCTGTGTATATTATGCATAAAAATACCACCTCCAGTGAATTCGTTTGGAAAAGAAACTCAAAGCAAGGCCAGACAAAGGAAACAAAAAGAAAAGAAACGAAAGGGAAAGGACAGGGAAGAAAAGGCAAGAAAAAACAAGACAGACAAAAAATTGGAAAAATATGACAGAGAGAGCAAGAATTGTATATATCATAATTTTATAATATTTTAAATTTATAAAATTATTTTTTGACTTTTTTTAATTCAAGAAGACCCTGGATATAAGTCCATCAGTATATAAATAATTGCTAAGAACTGGGACTAAATTTTAAATAAACTACACTGTTGAAAAAGCCAATATTTTCAAGAAAATTGACCAAAAGGTATCCTTGTCTTCATTTCCACTGACATCTTATGACTGCCATATTTTTTCAGCTATGGCTCTTTTTCTACCAATGGCATGTCACAAAAATGTGTGAACCTCTGGTCACTCTAATTAGTCATACCAATATTGCATAATTTTACCTCAGAATGTTTTTTCCAACTACATTCTTTCTCCAGGGGCATTTATATTCAATGTTTTTTCCAGGGGCATTTACATTCTGAATACCGTGCCTCAAAGTCAAACTGGTTAGCATTACAATCTTGTCTGGTATTATATATGCATTTATTAATGTACAAATTGACCTCAGAAATAGAATATATTTGTCAGGAGTTTTAGGTCTTGTGTTCCCAACACCTAACAATAGATACTTGTTGAATAAATTATGAAAGGGAAAAATAATTTTTAAGAAATTTTGAAAACTTAAAAAGGAAACAAAGGTGCCACAATGGAAACAAAATTTCACTTTTTTTTCTCTGAGTTTAGAGTAAATCTCAGATTCAAACACATCTGAGGATGTACAATTATCAATTATGTAATTCCAAGGGAAAGTAATTTGTACTTACAGGTTAGATATGATAATCAATTCACTTAATTCTACTCGTTTCCTTTAAAAAAAAAAAAAAGAGGCTGTCAGAAATAATACATCACAGTAAAACCTCCTATCAAACAAGAAAAGATTGTATTTGGGAAAACATTTTCATAGACCTAAATTGAGTAATGTTTCCAACTTACATTTCACCAGTTAAGCTTCCCATTAGAAAATGTGTTTGTATGACACCAGTTCCACTTGCATTTTTTTCCCATAGGTTTCCCAGCAGACGTTTACAATCCTTTAGTGATGTTATAGCCAGAATTGTATTAGGTAATAATATAAAATCCCTAAATTTTATGTACAAACCTTCACTGATATTTTTAGTTATCATGAAAGAATCCTTGTATTTATTTCTATTCTAATTCTCCTCATGTCATTGGTATTTTATATGTATTCATTGTAAACATGTGTTGAATGTTCTAAATTTATACAAGCAAAACAATGTACATATTCTAGAGCTTAATATTTTCCCTCTCCCTGTTTTTTTTTCCGTGGCTTTCTCTTGCTTTCACTATTGCAAACTCTGACCCTGAGAGGCAAGAGTCGTGACCATTTAGTAAGATGTATCGTTGAGTATCATAAAATAGTTGGATAGTCTGCTATTTTTTTATAGTAGCAAAAATAGAATGTTCATATGCTTGCCCACGATTTTTATACATTTTTAAATTTGTCTACCACATGCCTAAATTTACCAAATTAAGTCCGTGTATATAAAACATTTGCACAAATGTTACTCAAGTTGTCTGAAATAAAAATACATGTATTTTGCAATTTAGAGCACATGACACTAAAGATGTATAGCTCCGTTAACTCACCTTCTGAACAAATTTCAGCAAGAAATTTCAGAATGAATATAAAAAAGTTAAGAAATATTCTAATATATAGTAGCTGAAAAGTTTACAGAAGTAAAGAAGAAAGACACAAATTAGTAGATTCTGAAGAATTATCTATACGAACCCATAACTATTCTCTTTATTTTGGATATTCTATTGTTTCCTTATAATTTGTTTATAAGTTTCCTTATAAATAAACAAATTATAAGGAAACAGTGGAATATCCAAAACAGAATATGCAAGCCAATTAACAATCACCATTTTTACCAACAAAAATATTGAAAGTCAGAAAATTGTGGAATATCTTTGAAGTGCTAATAAATGATAATGGCAAATCTAGAATTTTATGTCAATTAGATTTAGAATTCAAGAGCAGATCAAAATAGAGACATCTTCAGACAATCCAAAAACTGAGAGTTTACTACCAAGAATAGTAACTTTTACAGTATGTACCATAGAATAAAGGATAATTAACTGGATGTAAATTCCAAAATATTAGAAGAAGAAAGGATGTGAAAAAACATATATAAGCAGTCACAATTTTATTTAACAAACACACCAACAATATGTGATTTGTGGGAATAAGAAAAACAACATGAATATAAAATAATGAACAATTTGTAGCAAATATTTTTAAATAATTGCAATTAAAGAGCCCTAAGACTTTGTATTGTTTGGGCTTGGTGTTAGTAAACTTTATATTTTATGTTAATAATGTTTATTAGAATATCAAAATTGCCTAGCAAAAGAAAACTGATAATGTGAATAATTTCCAAAATAAAAGAGATAAGTTACAAAAAATGTTAAAGTAAACAAATGCAAAACAAGGCAAAAAAAAAAAAAAATCAAAGTGAGAAAGACCAGCAAAGTGAATAAAAGGAAGAAAATATGACTTTAAATATAAAAAAATAAATAAATGAAAACCTAAAAAATAACATGCAAGTTGCCAAAAGAAAACGATTTACTTGACTGAATAAAGGTCGTTAAAGGATTTCTTCAGCTGGTGAGCACCAGGCAAACCTGAAGACTAGGTGGTTCCAGACTGAAGTAGGATCAGGCGTCTAACAGAAGTCTGTGGAGTATGCCTGGTTTAGGCTGGACAGATATTTTCTGCTTTAACTGAAGTTGAGTTTAGGTTTTTGGGTTCTTTTCTGTTTGTTTTTGTTTTATCTGTTTATGTTCCACTTTCAGAGTCTCATTATCCATCAGAACAATATTATATGAGAACAGTCTTTGCAGTTGATGGGCTAACCACGTTCCCTGGGTGGGGCAGGGGAAGTAGACAAGAATAGGAATGAAGTGGATGTAAAGGAAGAAGGCAAGGGGCGGGGGATTATTACCCTCTAGTATGTTTGTTTTAATCGCTTTACACGGTTACTAGTTTTCAAATTTACTAAATATTTTATATGATTCAAATCATTAACTGAGAAATTTCTTTCAAATTCAGTGCTCTTTGCAAAGTACTGGCTAGATGTTGGAATCCAAAAATGAACTGTGAAAAAAGGCCCGTGTCCTCAGGAACTTATGTTCAGAAGAAATGGAAAAACAAAATTAAATAAGTGGATAAATACATGTGTGTTGTTTTACTAAGACCTTATTTATTAAATATTTTGCTAAGCCTATAATATTAAATCAGCTATTTATATATCTCTATATAACAATGGTTCTAGAGTCAGGAGGTTAACCTTGTGGATTCCTCAGTGACCTTGAGTAATCACTCAACCAAAATACATTTGTATTTAAATACGAACATAAGTTCGAACATTACGTTGTTACCCTAGCCACTTCACAAAATACGTTCGAACACTAGGTTGTTACCCTAGACACTTCACAAAATATTTGAAAAACACATGGATAGACAATTTGATGATTCTATAAATCTGGTAAATGAATTAGAAATATTATAAAAGGTTTTTCTGAGAGGATACCATCGAGCAAAAAGAAAATGACTAGCATTTGACACTATGTAACTTTAAATCTATATTTCAGGGACCTCTGTCACTTTCTTGGGGAATTGAATCACCTATTCCTACTTAGCAGCATGAAAATGAGTTGAATCTCCAGGTTATAGCATTTGAAGGCATGCCTGAGAGGAGCAGATTCAAAAATCAACAGGTGGTTGATGTTTTCTGTGGGGAGCATTCCTGCCTCAGTCCTGCTGCTGTGACCCATTCCTAAACAGCTTTGGGGTCTACAGTCCCCCTTGGTACCTGCTGGGGATTTGTTCCAGGACCACCACCAATCCTACCACCATCATCCCTTCATAGCAAAAGCCAGAGATGCTCAAGTTTCTTATATAAAATGGCCTAGTATTTGCATATAACTTACACACACCCTCTTGTATACTTTCTATCATTTCCAGATTACTTACATTAATAATACTGAATACAATATAAATGCTATGCACATAATTGTTATAAGGATTGTTTTTTATTTGCATTGTTTTATTGTTGTATTTCTTTTTAAAAATTATTTTTGGTATTTCTTTTAACAAATATGTTTGATTCATGGTTAGTTAAATCCACCCACAATGGGGGTATGGAGGGTCAGCTGTATTCAGGAATTTGCATTAACAGACTTAAGAGCCTAGTAGATTCTTTGCTTAAATGAACTCTGTGCAGACACAGCATTCAACATTTCTATTTTGATACTTTAAGCAGACTGCAGTGTTTGACAAGCTATTTCAGTAATATGCAATAATCTTTACAAAATAGACATAGATGTTCTGTGACCCCAAATTCTCTGAAACTCTAAACTCAATTATTGAATCTATAGTGGTGTTTCTGATCAGATTACAAGATGAAGGAAGCAATGGAACTTGGCCTAATGTAATGAAAAATATTGCTATCTCTCCACTGATTATTTTGGATGATGGGAGAGCTGTATAGCCATTTAACTAAAGAGGAATCCTTTCAGGAACTACTCTGAAGTACTTTAAGAGATGGAGTTGCTGAAGAAAAAAGATTGAAAACAATTGGCTTAGCTGTTCAGAGCATGGCAAGAATGTAACTATAATCTGTCATTGTGTGGGCAGACAGATGGCCTGAAAATTGAATAAATTGGAAATCACTGGAAGGCAGCTATTTTGTCCTTGAGTGCATTAGGTATCTTGGAAAAATGTTATTAAATGGTGAACAATTGCTATCGAAAAGTTTCTAGTTGTTTGGAACATAGAGTTACATAAAGTCAAGATTCTATTATTATTCTAATAATAGATAAAATCCGAATGTAAAGAAAATGTTTCCTATGAACTATGTAATTTAATTCTTATCAGAGCAATACTTTAAACAATTATTTGATTAGCCTGTGTTTGTGAATGTATATAAAGTAAGCAATAACCTTATTTTCTCCTCTTTGTAATTTAATTCATTAGAAATTGAGAATCTCAGACTTCTCTCCAGCCCTATTAAATCTGCATCTTCATTTCCAGGTCACTCATACACTGTTTAACTTTGAGAAGCACTGTTGTATATTGTCTTGAGAGTCCACACTATGAAATAAATTGGCCCTTATTTACTCCTCAATTGAAATTCTTCAGACTTTCTTAAAGTTTCTAAATAAGTCCCAGTTAGTGGAAATGAACTGAATTTAGTTTAATTTTTTTTATCATGCATTGCTGTCCAAAAGAAGAAAGCTTATTTCTGCCAACTTCTTCTTATCCTCAACTTCCAACCACTGTCACGTCTGTCTTCTTTCTTTTTAATATTTTCAGGTGAATTAGAGGTTTGTCAACCGTAAGAATGAAATATATGGTTTATGGCCTATTTTTATGTAACTGGTCATTCTGAGATCTGGAAAACACTACCTGTGTTTATCTGCAACTAAAATCTAGACACCTGAGCCTACACTGCATAGCGAAACAGGTCACTAGAAAAACACAAGCAATTTAGAAAGGCTTTTAATATTGAACAGTTGCATTTTGTTTCTATTCATGTCTATCGCTTTCTCTTTTTTATTCTAAATTGCTTTATTATATTCTATATTTAATATTCTATCATTAACATGTCAATGACAGTCAATAATAATTGAGGACTCAGGTTTTGTCAATACACTGATTTATAATTAGTACAATATGTTATGAGTTTCCTTCGCACATTAATATTATCAGCTCTTCATTTTTTGTTGTTCACAATATATCTTCAACTACCTTTTTATTTTTAGGCAATGTACATATTACAATTTAAGAATAACATCTTCTTTGTTAAATATTTATTTCCACCCCTTTTCAGAAAATTAGATGGTTTACATTTATTGTTAGAAATAATATAAAGCTTTTCTGGTTTTGTGCTTCTAAATAATATTATTAATATATTCTTTTGTAATTACAAAAGCTCCTTGTTTTTGTTTTGTAATTCCTTTCTCAATAAAATAGAGCTGCAAATATTTTGTTCCTTTAAATATTTCAAATAAATAATTTTCATTTATAATAAAAAATATAAAATATGCCAAAGAATTTATTATTTCAAAAAATATGTCATTCACCAATTTGCTTTTAGATTTGTGAATACAGTCTCATTTTATTTTAATACTTTAATCATAGATCTTAACTTTTTTATAATTAATTTTAATTTGTATTTAACATGGTAATAATATTTTTACTTAATTTTATATTGTTGGGTTAGTAGTCACTGTTAGTACACATAACTATTTTACTTTTTCAACATGTAATTTTCATTAATCTTATTCAGATAAAGTTCATTTTCACTATTTTTCTTCAATTGGAAATATTTCATATTTTAAAGACTTCCATTCCTAACAAATGTGGAATACAACATTTTTAGCTCAAAATATTTTTCAAAACAAAACAGAATTTTTCCAGTCTTCACATATAAAACTAAAGCAACAAGCTCAAGTCTATCCAGACATTTTATACTTCAGAAACGAAAATACTAATCTTACGTGTTTATGGCGGATGTTTTTCTTATAATTTTAGTTAAAAAATATTTGTAGAAGGTTTTTATAGTAATATAGTCAGAAAATTAGTCTGCATTTTTACCTACAAATTAAGCAGTATTTTAAAAATTAGCTCAGGAAATTTTATTTTATATTGTATTTTAGTCTGCATTTGAATGATATTTAAATTCTTAGATTTTCACTTTAGATGTGGGAACTCCGGTGCTTAATTCTATCCTCTTTAATTTTATATCTGTGATTTCTTCTGCTTTGTTTTCAGTTCTATTTTTTTCCTGCACTGCAAAAGAGTTTCTAAAGATTGTATTTAATATTACAAGCTTCATTTAGTGCTCTATCATTTGGCATTTACATTTTTACATAGTTTTAAAATTATATATATTTCTTTGTATTTTTTATCTAATTTTATACAATTTTAAAAATCATGCACCTCTAATATCTATTGACTAGGTTTAGCTTTCATTTCAGAGATAACATTAATAGTGAAAAATATTATCTTAAATGCAAAGATATTCATTATTTAAAAATTGATCAATGACATTCACTAAATTATCACAGGGACGAAAACATAAAATGATCATCTGTAGAGATGCAGAAAAATAATTTGACAAAATTCAGCACTGATTTATAAGAATTATCAGCAAAATAAGAACAGAAATGAAAATTGACCAACAACCAGAAATGACAGCAACAACAAAATACCAAGTCAGTAAAGATGGAGAGAAATAGGGAAGCAGTGAAGGTAGATGTCATTTCTGTTTTTAGTGGTGGAGTACAAGGTGTTCTTGTGCTTAAAGGTCATGTTCTTGTGATAAAACGCACTGCAGAGACAACACAGTTTAATTGGCTGAGGCAGGTGACTCCCTTTAAGCATCAGGGTGGAACAAACTACACGACAAAATGTAATTTTAAAGACCACTCTCATTCAAATGTAATAATATCAAAGCACCCTTAACTCATTAATGAGTGAAACAATGAGTGTCATGGTCTGAACTGTGTTCCCCTCCCCAAACCCGTATGTTCAAGCCCTAACCCCTAGTTATACACATAAGGTAAATGAAACCTCATTTGGACACAAAGTTTTTGCAGATGTAATCAAGCTAAAATTATCTCTGTAGGTGGGACTTAAAATAACATGGGTTGTCTTTATAAGAAGAGGGAACAGAAACAGATAGGATGTGGAGAGGACCATGTGAAGAGAGAAGCTGAGACTGAAAAGGATTTATGTATTAATATTGACAGAAGCCAAGGAACACCATCTGAAGTTCTGACGGCAACATCAGAAGCTAAGAGAAAGGCATGGAAAAGATTCTCACCTAGAGCATCCAGAGGAGAGGTTGGTCCTGCAGACACCTTGTTTTCTGACCTCTGACCTCCGCAACTGTGAGGGAAGAAATTTCTGTTGCTTAAAGACACACAGCTTGTGGTACTTCATTATAGCAGCCCAAGGTAACTAATATAGATGACAAAATTGGTTCCAAGGGTGTTTGAGGAACTGGACCTTTATAGGCATTATTTTCATAATACTGCATTAAGCTATGATAACTGGACTAGATTCAAAATTGGATAATGCCCTAAATGCAATAAAGCTATAATTTTGAGATAAAATTTTAATAGCTTTATGAGATATAATTAACATCTGGTATACTGCACATTTTTGAGGTGTGAAATTTTTAAACATTAACATACGTATATACTTGTAAAACCATCACACTAGAAAGAGATCTCAAGCCTCTTCTTTTGACTTTCAACACATTGTCAATCCAGTACTAATCTGGTTTTATTACCATATATTAGCTTTTATTTTCTACAATTATATATCAGTAGAATTATAGAGTATGAATTCTTTTTGTCTTTTTTCCTTAAGCATAATATTTTTGAGATTCAACAATTTCTTGCATGTTGAAGTAGCACCTTTTTTTATTGTTACGTATTATTTCATTTCATAGACATACCACTATAATTTATTTACTAAACTCTTGACCAGAGGTTCTCAAATGAGGGACATTTTACCTGCCGGGGACATTTCCAATGTTTGGGGACACTTTTGGTTATCAGAGGTTTGTGGAGGAGGGGATAGAGTGTCCACAGGCCAGGGTTCCACAAAGGATAGCTCCCCACAACAAAGAATTAAGCCACTTCAACAGCTAATAGTGCTGAACTTGAGAACGCCGCTCTTGGTGGACAGTTGCATGGTGTCTGTTTTTGACAATAATGAATAAAGGTACTTGTGCAAGCCTTTTTACAGACTTATGCTTTTCTCCCCCCTAGGATAAATGCCTAGGGGTAGAATTGGTACATGTAAGGTAGATTTAGTTATCCAAAGTAGCTGTACTGTGTTACACTCCCACCGTCGATGTATGCAAACTCTAGAGTCTGGTTTCTTGACATCTATGCCAAATATTGGTAACACAATTTTTAAAATAGTAGCTTTTCTAGTAGATGTGTATAATTATCTCATTTTATTTTTTATTACTAACGATATTAAGAAATTTTTCATTTGCTTATTTGCTATTATATCATTTTTGTGTAGCATCTGTTAGTTTTTATAGCTCTCTTGTTTCTATGTTGTACATTATATTTATATATTCTTGCTCTTATTCATAATAAATAGTATATATAATTGTGTAATTAAAAATAAACATTAAAGTATAAATATATTTACACATTTCTGTAGTTTATCATTATATAATTATTGCTTTCTGAATAAAAAGAAATGTATCCACAGTTTGGATAAAAAGAAGTGCTTTCATGTAGTTTACTAAGACATTTTCTGTGCTTTATATTTGAAGCCTATGCTTTCACTTTTACACATTGTTCCATAATATATTTTGGACTCCTTTAATTTTGAACTCATTCACGCTTTTGTTGTGAGGAAGGACTTGAGGTTTGTTTTCTTCACATTTATCTCGTAGTTCTGCACACTTTGTTAAATAAAATTATCTTTCCCCTTTGAATAACTGCAGTATCTTTGATATTATATTATTCATATAAGCATGGATCTATTTGTGAACTCTATTCCATTCCATTACTCTAATTGTTTATCCATCTACTAATAACACATTCTCTCGATGACTATAGCTTTAAGTTATTGCATGGTGTTAGGAAGTGTGAGTATTCCAACTTTTTTTTCAGCTTTCTATCATTTGTTTTTGCTCTCTTGATGTACATTTTTAAATCAGTGTGTCAATTTATATAAAAATATCTTTTGTGATTATGGTGAGGATTTCTAGAATGATTAATTTGGAAAAACCAAAACCTTTTACACACTAAAATTCACTGAACTTTCAAGCCATGATTATTGTATTAGTTTGTTCCGGCATTGCTATAGAGAAATACAGAAGATTCGACAATTTATGAAGAAAAGAGGTTTAATTGCCCCACTGTTCTGCAGGCTATACAGGAAGGATGATGCTGGCATCTACTTAGCTTCTGGGAAGACTCAGGAAACGCACAATCATGGCAGAAAGCAAAGGGGGACAGGCACGTCACATGGCCAGAACAGCAAGAGAGTGAAAGGGGAAGCTGCTACACACTTTTAAATGACCAGATCTCATGAGAACTCACTCACTCACTATTATGAGAACAGTATCAAGAGGGATGATGCTGAACCACTCATGAGAAATCCACCCCATGATCCAATCACCTCCCATCAGGCCTCACCTCTAACATTGGAGATTACATCATACCAGATTTGGGCAGGGACACACATCAAAACCATCAATTATTGTATGCGACTCCATTTATTTAGAACTTTCCTACATCTCCCAACACTTTTGCTAGTTTCCTATTTAGAGAGATCTTGCATGTAATTTGTTAAAATCATATATACATATTTTATTTTTATTAGTATTTTACATGGATTTGATTTTTATCATTAATTGCTCATTGGAAATATATAGAAATAAGTTAATGGGTTGACTTATTTTTTCTATGATGTGGCTAAAATTACTAGTTTATTCCAGCAGCTGATTTTTACAGTCACTAGAAGTTTATGTGTAGGTAATGGAGTTGTTTAAAAATTTAGAATTGTATTTTTCATTTCTTAACTGTGTATGTTTTACTTATTTATTTGATTTGTCTCACTGGTTAATTCCTCCCATACAGTAGAGAGAACAATAGTGAAAGAGGACACTTTGTCTTCTTCTGGATCTTAAATGAATAATTTATTAGTTCAAACTTCAGTGTGATATTTCCGTAGATGCCTTCTATTTGCTTAAGGATGCTTCTTTGTATTCTATTGGGGCGAGATATTTTTATTATAATTCTATCTTGAAAATGCCAAATGTTTTTTCTGCCTCAGAGGAAGTTTATATATTTTTTTCATTTTACTCAGTTAATGTGGTGAGTTTGAAAATTCAAATACTTGAAAAATCACGTTCCCATCAAACACTGCTTCTTACTGTGCCTTTCTAAGAGGACTACCTTCAACTTGGGCATTTAGAGGATACTTCCCTTCCTATAGCTCAGGGTTTTTTTGTATTTTTTTTATGTTTAAATTTTAGTGATATTTCTTTTATGTGTTTTTAAAATATTTTATGGGCTACTGCATTGACCCATTTGTTTCAACTTTACAGCTCTAGTTAAATATAAAAATTAATAAAATGTCAACACTCAAGTATTACATATATCCCTTGATCTGGTGATTTAGGACTATGAGAAAAATGCTCAATTTCCCTCGATAGAAGGAAGTATGAACTTTTTTATTTATTTATTACTGTAGTCTCACAGCCTAAAAATCAGTAGGTCTCCACTGGTCAGCAAGCAAATGATCATGATTGTTTTTCTGAATTTTTGACAATTTCAGAATAGGCAAGAAAGCTAAGTTTTAAAAATAAAATGCCAACATCAAGAATTTAAAATCAAATTCGTCACAGTGAATCCCAACAGGAAATAGTTCTTCATTTTATGATTACTCAGAGATTTTGCTTGTTGTAGTGGTCTTCCTTCTGGCTCATAATTTTTTGCTACTCTGCAGCAGAAATAATAAGAAATATTTTCCCAGTCCACAGCGGTGAAGGAGAAGAAAACTATAAATCAAAAGTAGCATATTCTGTGGATCATTTATTGAAATAAACACAGTGAGTACAAGATGGGTAATCTATTTGCATAATCAAAGACACCCTTCATCTGTGTCTATTTTTCTCTTTTCTTTTCTTTTCTTTTTTTTTTTTTTTTTGAGACAGAGTCTCACTCTGTTACCCAGGTTGGAGTGCAGTGGCATGATCTTGTCTCACTGCAGACTCCGCCTCTCGGGTTCCAGCAATCTTCCTGCCACAGCTTCCTGAGTAGCTGGCATTACAAGGTATGGGCCACCATGCCCGGCTAATTTTTGTATTTTTATTAGAGATGGGGTTTCGCTATGTTGGCCAGACTGGTCTTGAACTCCTGGCCTCAAGTGATCTGCCCGCCTCAGCCTACCAAAGTGCTGGGTTACAGGCATGAGCGACTTGCCTGGCTATGTCTATTTTTAACATAGTTATAGTGAACTATAATTATTTTTACATAAAAACTATTCTTACAAATGTTATATGTATTTTAAGAGCATACAAACTTACAGGTTTTTTTATTTAATAAAAACCAGTGGCAGATTGATAATGCAGAATATATTATTTGTAAAAAATCATTTGTTGTCATACAAACATATATTTTATTTGAAAATTATACTTTTGAATAGCTTTTTGGAAAGTTAAAGTATTCTCATTTATTGCATACATTTGTCACCAAAATTATACGAAAGAGTGTTTGATTCAAAATGTGTGTGTGTGTGTGTGTTCCTATATAGGACCCAGATAACACATATATATTAAATAAATAAATACATGTATATATATATATCATGCACACACATTTAAATATAATGTAAATGTGTGTGTGTGTGTGTGTGTGTGTGTGTATGTGTATGCAGATGCCCCTCTGGAAACAAATTTAAAAAGAATCCCCTCTTTTGAGTGTATAAAGAAGTTCCTTTCTTAAGGAATGGATAACAGGGGTTGGTACTTTGGCTGAATTCCTCTTCCTCTTACTTTCATTAGACTTGGCACTGTTGCATAGAACACAATTTTCCAAAATGTAATGTCTGTGTTATGCCTACAAATGTACCATACATAACAATTTGTCATTTTCTGTAATTACATACTGACCTATTTAACATTTATCTAACCACTTATATATCTTAATCAAAATAAATCAACCCATGTAAATTGTTTATTTCTATTGTCTTTCTCAGTATAATGCACAAGATACCTTTCTATCTCTATATGTATTTGTCATTTTCATGTCTGTCCCTACATGAGTTGACTCTATTTTTCTGTTACATAGATATGTGATGTTAGTACAATATATGTTAACTAAAAATGGATGATGCAACCTTTTAAAATTATGACCATCGCAGTGAAAATTATGTCTCTAAAATATCAGGGGCTTAGGTATTTTCAGATTAAATTAGGAAAAATAGAGTATCTTTCCATTTATTTATGTGGGCAAATTTCCCATTTGTTCACATTAAATCTTTTAATGGCATATTGCCTAAATCTTTCTCAGAAAAGCTTAGCCAAATTGCCTAGGATGTTTCCTTTCTCCCATATTACCATCACTGTATACCATCATATTTCTAATAATTTTAATTTTGGAACATGAAAATGGTATTTCAATTTAAATGCGTATGTTTTTCTATTTGCAAAGAGATTAAACATCTCTTCAAGTTTTTAAACTATATGCAGCCCTTCTTTTCTGCTATACCTGTTCATTTCCTCAAGCTATTTTTCCATCAGACAGTTTCATGTTTTCTCATTGATTTGAAGCTTCTATTAAAGTATTGTATACACATGGGTAAATGCACATAAGTTTAAAGCTTAGTGAGTTTTAAAATACTATGATCATCCAGAATAAGAAAATGTAATAGTCACACATCTGATTTCCACCCATCCCTCCTAACATAACACTATTCTAACTTTTACCAGTAAGGAATCAAATAGTGTGTGTAGTGTTTTGAACCACATTTTTTTGCTTAATATTATATTTGTGAGACGAATTGACTATATGACCTGCAAATGAAACTATTTATATTTATTTCTCTAATATTTTATTAGGTGATCATATTACAACTTATTTGTTTACTGTACTCTTTATAAGTATTTTAGTCCACTTTTGGGCCACAGTTTGGGGTTATTTTGGTGTTATTCTGAAAAGTGTTTTCATGAGTACACATTTTTTTTAGCTATATATATGCATGCATTTCTGGAGAAACCATCTTTACAAGTAGAATTTTGGGGCCTAATACATATCTTTATCCAAATTATTTGAACTAAGTTATGCCAATAACATCAATTTGAGTGTTCTAATTAGTCAACATTCTCATCAATACTTTGCACTTTCTCTTCAACTTAGAATTCTAAAATATTCCTTTCAAATTCAGGATTCTGAATGACAAGTACTTACATCTCATTGTGGTTTGAATTATTTTTTCAGGTAACCAATATAAATAAAAACCTTTTAATAAGTTCATTGGTTATTTGAATATTTTATTTTTGAAGTGTCTAAAATATTTTCTTTCTAATCCAGTCCAGTTATTTTTCTGTGGTTTGCTTCTTGTTGTCTTATTGAGTTCATTGCCTTTTTAATATTCTTTTCCGGTTAACATTTCCCCCTCATTGATCTGAAATGTTTTCATTATATACCACCTTTCCATATCTGTCAATGTCTTGATTTTCTATATGATCTTCATCTATCTGTAGTTATAACTCATTTTAATCATAGAAGCTTTAAGAATTGCTTAATATTTTGTATTGACTCCAAATTCCATTGATTTTATAGGATATTTCTAGCTATTCTTGCTTCTTTATTCCTCCAAGTAAATTTGTCTATTTTTCTAAATCTGGAAAAAGAAATTCTAGAAAATGTCGTTTTGTTATGACACAGAAGATATAAGTTTATTTAAAGAACTGGCACATTTATGATTTTAAGGCTTTTTCAAGAGCATGGAATTTCTTTCCCCGTGCTCAAGTCCAAATTTGTGCCATTCAGAAGTGTTTTCTAGTTTTTTTTATATATAGGTTTTAAACATTTCTGGTTAAGTTTATGCCCTCACATTTTATTTTAGTTTGGTTAATGACGTTTTACATGTGTGAGTTCCCTCAATTATTTCTTTTAAATGTTCTGATTCAATAGGAACACTCTCCTTAGTATCCTTAACAGAAATGATTCTTGTTTATAGAATTGCTAAATAAGTAAAGAAATTTTAAGTTAAATCATGGCAAGGAGTTATAATTATACTAAGCTTTTTTGTTCCTAGAGGTTTTGGCTCACTCATATGGTAATCTATATGAAAATTTTTCTGTGATATCTAATATTAGAAAGATCCTCAGTGATAGAATAGTGTTTCTTCCTAGCTGATTCATACATCTTTCTCTGCCAACATTTTGTTTGTTGAAGTGTTCCCCAACATATGACTCATTGCTTACTAAATCCCTATTGAGCAGCCAAAGCCCTGGTGACTAATTATGTCATTAATTTGGGAAAGTCAGAGACAATAAGACTGTCAGTTGAAACTTTGTAGGAGGTAAAAAAGTCACTGCTGTCAGCTGCAAAGATCCTTAAAACGGTCTTCAGTAAAGTCAAATTTTGTGACAAGAATTATTGCATCAAAGTCGGGGAAATACCTCTTAGATCAAATAAGATACATTGAAAAGCCAAAAATTATTTTTATCTCACTTTGGGTTCTCATAAGGTCTACCCACTGTTACTTGGATATGAGACTTAACAAATGGAAAAGAAGACAGGGGTACTGTCACACTGTATTTTCCTACGGCCTAATGACCACAATGGTTGATGAACTGCAGTAAAGTTTCTATAATATTTTCCATCTATTCATTTGCTCAATCACCTTGTAATGGTTATGTTGGTTAATTCCAGTCTTTCATGGGTAAGCAACAAAATGAGACTTAATTTGAAATATCCAGTATTTTTCTATTCTTACAAATAATTTTCAGGATCAATGCACTGAGGATTAGGAATGGCAATGTGTATTACTACTCTGATACCAACTATATCCAATCTAATGTTGGAATTTGTTTGACAAAGTGTTGTGTATTTGAAAACAGGCAGCACTGAATAAAAAGAATATGGGCAAAAGAAAAATGGAAGTGTTTTGAATAGAAGTCTAAAATATTTATTGATCAATGCTGAACTGAGTAAGCAGGAGATGCCTGTACATAAATGACATTATCCTGATCTAGTAACAGGGAGAAGCAGAATATCTGAAAGCTGTTTATTAATTTGATAATAATAAGATTAGAAACATGCAAATCAAGATTAATAGTATTCACTTCTAATTGGGTTTAGGTAGACTTTGACTATTTTGCTTCTGATGTTCTTATATTTTTAATTTTCTATAATGATCATATAACATATAATATTTTCATAATATTAAACATTTTAGAATTAAACTCCATTAGAGTGTGTCTTTCCTAAAGTAATATAAACATCCAATCTTGTCCTTAACAATTCTGTTCTCAAACATTAGCCTATTCCCTCAAGCCAGTGTTGCTTTCGACCCATATTGTCCATCATTTCAATTTATCTCAAAGTTTTTTATTGCAACAATTAAATGCTTTGAATGATACCCAAGGCATAGTTCTATTTCAACAAAATTTCAAAGTTAATAGTTACATCAAATTTTGTTGGTGCTCATTGAATTTGGTTATTAAAACCATAAGTAGTATGTTTTATGCTGACTGAGGGAGATAAAAGTAGTAATGTTTAATATTCAAACTGTGATGACTGAAAAAAAAAATGAGGCCTGTAAAATCTTATTTAATGTCAAATTTTAATTAAACAGGCTTAGCAGACCAAAATTAAAATCTCAATTATTTTTAAATTATTAATGACAGACAACTAGATTGAGTGAACACTGGCATCTCTTTTCAAATAACTTAGTTTAGTGGATGAGTTAAACATAAACTAGTTATTATAATGCAGCGAAGTATGTGAAAAATTTAATTTGAACCCTACTTAGCTTAAAATCCTGACATTCTAGGATGCAAGTCCTGCAAACTTTCCATATGTAATCAACATTTTCTAAACATGCATGCTGTATCTCTCCTGTGTGACTTTGCATACATCATTCCCACATTCTAGATCATCCCGACCCACCTTAAGTGACTGCTTTTGCATAATCTCCCTTAAAATTCTAACTCAAGCACTGCATCTTTTGAGTCCTTCCCTAACATCTTAACATCTTCCTTCTTTCATTCATCATTAACTATAGTTAGTTATTATAGCACCTGTTAGCACTGTAAAATTATGTGTGTTACACAAGTACAACATGCAGACTAAGGTCGTGTATTACCTAGCCTCATACCAGCGTCACCTAGAACAGCAAAAATGTATGCAGATTAATCACAATATATTTGGATGTACAAAACATATTGAGAGCAAAATATGATGGAAATTTAGGTGATGCTCTTTGAGCATTGCTTCCATTTTCCAATAATGTAACCAGGAATCACTGTTCATGTAATTAAAGAACAATAAGTCTATGTGAATCAAAATATACATATACATGCAAATGTTAAACCTCAGTAGGAAGAGGCCCATTCTCTTGCTTGCTGATATATATATATATATATACACACACACACACACACACACACACACACACACACACATATGTATGTTGTGTGTATATGTATATACACACAACAATCTATAGGCTTGCCTTTTAAAATAGTATAAGCAACAAATTTTAAGAGAAACAATAATGAGTGTGTAAAACATTAGATATGTGTATGTACCTTTGCTATTATTTGTGGAAATGGGGCTATAAAATAAGCTCCTTTATTTTCTTTTGTAAAACATTTCTTTAATATGAAGTAATGCAATACGTATTTATGTTCTAAGTGTTAATTTCCTTGGATATAAAATAATATCTTGTTCCTTTGATTCTCTTACATATAAGTGTATTTACTCAGATATTACTCCAAATACACCAGATATATTCAAAGTTGAAAAAATATATACTTTGGAATGTATTATCACCTTATTTCACATGAAGAAATCAAAATCTCTGGCATCCAAGTGCATTCCAGCCTGAAAAAAATTATGCAATTGTGAATTTAACAGAAAGCAAATTGCTCACATATGGAGTCAACGTGAAGCTATATCAATATTTATTAAAAGTTTATATATTACTTTTGATCCCCTGGAGAGAAATACAAAATTCAAATAATTATTCTATTTTTATATCCCAATTTGTAATTATGAAACTCTAGCATTTTATTTTTTCTCTTTCAAGTTTACCTGAAGCTTCACAAAATTCTGTGAGGAATCTATTATAACAGGTATTTTGCTTATTTCCACACAAACAGAAGGAAATGTGTATTTTCTATGCCCTGAAGAATTTACTCTTTTCTGTAAATGACATATGGTAGTTAATTCTTTTTGGTAATAAAATATTCCTGTTTTTAGGCCGAACAGCCTTTTCATTTAAATTCAGGGCAACATATCAAAGCTTTGCCGTAATAATACAGAGTAATCGACTAAAGTAATATAGAATTTAAATAACAAAGAGTTTAAACAATTTAATATGTCTTCTATTAATTTCAAACTGAAATTTTACAGAAATTATTTGGAATATGCTGCCAGAGTACACACACACACACACACACACACACACACACACATCACACGCTCACATCACACACTCACACCCAGCTAAAGGAAATTACCACAGCTATAATGATTTCATTAAATATCTGAAATTAAAGTTTCTTTTGGATTTTCAGCTGAAGCTCATAGTAAATAAAAGTAATATGATCATTGTTGCATACTGTGAATCAACAGCACCCAGAAACCTTCGACTTTCTATATTTACACAGCTTAATTATCCGAACTGAAACCTGAGGCCATCTGTGTCAACATGATTTCACAATTCATTCCAGAAAATTATTTTTCAGGAAAGTAAGGCTGCAAACCAATAAATAACTTATTGTTTGCTTCAGGAAATTTCTGCAAATCAATTTATGTCAGTAAGCAACTCTCCTCTGGGCCAACAGATTGCTCACCTGGGCAGGTAGCAGCTTGTGTCAATTAACAGTTTACTTATGAAGACTTCTGTCATGGCCCTTAACTCACAGTGTCCCCCAATCCTAAACTCTATGTCCTGAACATTACCTATTCTTATCAGTCATTGGTCTTGAAAGGCCCCGGGCAACCATTTGAGCCCAGACTTCAATACTCTATCAATACCACCTTATCATCTACTTTTCTAACATGACCCCTCAAGGTGGTGACCCCACTTACAGTCGTCTTTTATTGAATTTAGCTTTCCCTAATCAACATGCTAGTCTATTGGATGCAGTGTCAGAGGCAAAAATCACAGAGGTTCTGAAAGCATCAGCCCATGGTTTTCTAAACATCATGGTTCAAGACCCTTAACACGAAACAGAAAGTTTCCCCGAGGCGCCGTAAACAACCCATTTGGGCGCTTCCCTGATAATTATAGTGAAATCTGGCATCTAATTTTTTTTGGTGGACTCTCAAATTTTATATTTATGTTTTGATTCCTAGAAATAAAAAATGTTTTTATAAGGAATTCTTTGATCGTTTATGTTTTATTCTTGATAGAAACCTACTACTTTATAACTTCGTTTATGTTTTACTCTTGATAGAAACCTACTACTTTATAACTTCGAACATTATTGATGTTCTTCCTGTATTTCTGAGAGGTGACAGCTTGCTGGCATCCCTCGCTGGCTCTCGGCGCCTCCTCGGCCTCAGCCCACTCTGGCCGCGCTTGAGGAGCCCTTCAGCCCGCAGCTGCACCGTGGGAGCCCCTCTCTGTGCTGGCTGAGGCCTGAGCGGGCTCCCTCTGCTGGCGGGGAGGTGTGGAGGGAGAGGCGCGGGCCGGAACCTGGGCTGCCTGCGGTGCTCGCCGGTCCAGCGCGACTTCCGGGTGGGCGCGGGCTCGGCGCAACTTCCGGGTGGGCGCGGGCTCGGCGCAACTTCCGGGTGGGCGCGGGCTCGGCGCGCCCCGCACTCTTGAGCGGTCGGCTGGCGCCGCCGGCCCTGGGCAGTGAGAGGCTTAGCACCCGGGCCAGCAGCTGCGGAGGGTGCACTGGGTCCTCCAACAGTGATGGCCCGCCGGCGCCGCGCTCGAATTTTCGCTGGGCCTCAGCCACCTCCCCGCGGGGCAAGGGGGCAGGGCTCGGGACCTGCAGCCTGCCATACTGGAGCCCTCACCCTCCTCCCCGCCCCCGTCCCCTGCCCCCCGCCCCCCGCCCCCCAACCGCAGGCTCCCGCGCGCCACCCCGAGGGGACGGGCGCCACCTCCTGCTACGCGGCACCCGGTCCCGTCAACCGCCCAACGGCTGAGGAGTGCGGCAGTGCGCCAGAGACTGGCGGGCAGCTCCGCCCGCGGCCGGGATGCACTAGGCAAAGCCAGCTGGGCTCCTGAGTCCGGTGGGTACTTGGAGAACTTACTGCGTCTAGCTGGAGGATTGTAAATGCACCAATCAGCATGCTGTGTCTAGCTCAAGGTATGTGAACGCACTAATCAGTGCTCTGTGTCTAGCTAATCTGGTGGGGACTTGGAGAACTTTTGTGTCTAGCTAAAGGATTGTAAACAGACCAAGCAGCTCTCTGTAAAATGAACCCATCAGCTCTCTATGAAATGGACCGATCATCAGGATGTGGGTGGGGTGAGATAAGGGAATAAAAGCAGCTGCCAGAGCCAGCAACAGCAACGTGCTAGGGTCCCTTTCCACAGTGTGGAGGCTTTGTTCTTTTGCTCTTTGCAGTCTTGCTGCTGCTCACTGTTTGGCTCTGCGCAGAGCTGTAACACTCACCAAGAAGGTCTGCAGCTTCACCCAAAGATATTCCAAAGATACAGAAAACTATATAGAGACATTTTGTATAGTTCTAATAGCATATAATCCACAGGTCCCTGATCTATAATATGGGTTTTTTATAAAATTGTTTTTTTGTATGCTATGAGGAATTTTACTTGTTAAAAAGAAGAGGTGGAAAGGCAGAATATGAAAACTATGAAAATGACATAAGAGACTATGAATTAGGTCAGAAACCAGAGAGGTTTAGAAACCTGTAGACATTGTGCATCCCCCAATGCCTTTCCCCTTAAAAAGATATTATATTCTAATCCAGTCCATCAAATAAAGTCTACATTCATTAGAAACATATTCTCTTGGTTTTTATAATTTCAGTTTTTTCCAGACACAGATAGTGCATATGCAGATTTGTTACTTTTGTACAGTGCACCCTGGTAGTGAGCATAGTACCCAGTAGGTAGTTATTCAGCCCATGCTCCCCTCTCTCCCCCACCCCCATAGCCTGCAGCATGTCTTGTTCCCATGTTAATGTTCCTGTGTGCTCAGTGTTTAGGTTCCACTTATAAGTGAGAATGTGTGGTATCTGGTTTTCTTTTCCAGCACTAATTTGCTTAGGATTATGTCCTTAGCTCCATCCATGTTGCTGCAAAGGACATAATTTCATTCTTTTTTATGGAGGCATAGTATTCCATAGTGTATATGTACCACATTTTCTTTATCCAATCCACCTTTGATGGGCACCTAGGTTCATTCCATGTCTGTGCTATTGTGAATAACATGCTGATGAACGTACGAGTGCATGTATATTTTTCTGGTAGAATAATTTATTTTCCTTTGAATATATACCCAGTAATGGGAATGCTGGGTCGAAGGGTATCTCTGTTTTAAGTTCTTAGAGAAATCTCCAAAATACTTTCCACAGTACCTGAACCAGTTTACATTTCCATCAACAGTAGTGTATAAGCATTCCCTTTACTCTGCAGCCTGGCCAACATCTAATTTTTTTACTTTTTAATTATAGCTGTTGTGACTGATGTGAGATGGCATCTTACTGTGGTTTTTGCTTGCATTTATTTATTTGATGATTAGTAAGGATGAGTGTTTTTTCATATACTTGAGTGTCTTCTTTTGAGAAAATATCTGTTCATGTCCTTTGCCTTTTCTTGATTTAAATTTTAAGTTCTGGGGTACATGTGCAGGAAGCGCAGTTTTGTTACATAGATAAACGTGTGTGGTGGTGGTTTGCTGCACCTATCAACCCATCACCTAGGTATTAAGCCCAGCATGCATTAGCTATTTTTCCTGATGCTCTCCCTCTCCTCAACCCCCTACAGAAAATTATAGTGTGTGTTGTGTGTTGTTCCCCATTGTGTGTTGTTCCCCTCCCTGTGTCCATGTGTTCCCATTGTTCAGCTCCCACTTATAAGTGAGAAGATGCGGAGTTTGATTTTCTGCTCCTGTATTAGCTTTGCCCTTTTTAACTGGGGTTGTTTTATGCTTGTCATTTTTTCTTCCTTATGGATTTGTTATATTAGATCTTTATCAGATGCATAGTTTGCAAATATTTTCTCCCATTCTGTAAGTTGTCTGTTTACTCTGTGGATAGTTTCTATTGCTGTGCAGAAGCTTTTTAGTTTGATTGACTTTCACTTGTCAATTTCGTTTTTGTTGCAATTGTTTTTAGAAACTTAGCCAAAAATTATTTGCCAAGGCCAATGTCGAGAAAAATATTTCCTAGGTTTTGTTTTAGAGTTTTCATAATCTGAAGTCTTACATTTTAACCTTTAATCCATCTTGAATTAATTTGTGTGTATGGTGGAAGGTAAGCATCCAGTTTCACTCTTCTGCTTATGGCTAGCGAATTATCCCAGCACCATTTATTGAATAGGGTGCCTTTTCCCCATTGTTTGTTTTTGTTGGCCTTGTCCACGATCCAGATGGTGGTAAGTGTGCAGCTTTATTTTTGAGTGTTCTATTCTGTTCCATTGGCTTAAGTGTCTGCTTTTGTAACAGTATCATGGTTAGTGTACACTTATAGTATAGCTGGAAATTGGGTAGTATGACGCCTCTCTGGCTTTATTATTTTTGCTCAGAATTGCTTTGGCCATTCTGGCTTTTGGGGGTGTTCCATATAAATTTAGAATAGTTTTTTCTAATTCTGTGAAGAATGATGTTGGTAGTTTCATGGAGATAGCCTTGAATCTACAAGTTGCTTTGGGCAGTGTGGCCATTTTAACATATTGATTCTTTTAATCTGTAAACATGGAATGTTATTCCATTTATTTGTGTTATCAAAATCTCCTTCCTTCCTTCCTTCCTTCCTTCCTTCCTTCCTTCCTTCCCTCCCTCCCTCCCTCCCTCCCTCCCTCCCTCCCTTCCTCCCTTCCTTCCCTCCCTCCCTCCCTTCCTCCCTTCCTTCCATCCTTCCTTCCTTTTCTTATTTCCTTCCTTTTTTGAGACAGAGTCTCACCCTTTCACCCAGGCTGGAATGCAGTGGAGTTATTATAGCTCACTGCAGGCTTGAACTCCTGGCCTCAAGCCGTCAGGGTAGTTAGGACTACAGGCATGTGCCACCATGCCTCGCTATTTAAAAAAAAAAAAAAAATTTGTATAGATGAGGTTCCACTATGTTGCCTAGGTTGGTCTCAAAACTCCTGGGTCCAAGCGATATACCTGCCTCGGCCTCCCAAAGGCATGAACCACTGCATCCAGCTTCAGATTTCAGCTGTGTTTTGTAATTCTCCTTGTGGAGATCGTTCACATCTTAGGTTAGTTGTATTTGCAGGGATTTTATTTTCATCCTAGGTGTTGTAAATATGATTGTGTTCTTAATTTAACTCTCAACCTGGATGTTGTTGTTGTATAGAAATGCTACTAATTGTTGTACATTGATTTTGTATCCTGAAACCTTGCTAAAATCCTTTATCATTTCTAGTAGACTTTTGTTGAAGTCTTTAAGGTTTTTTAGGTATAGAAGGATATTGTTGGGTGAAGACAGATAGTTTGCCTTAATCTTTACTTCCTATTTGGGTGCTTTTCTCTTTTTCTGTTGCAAGATTGCTCTGACTAGGATTTCTGGTACTATGTTGAATAGGAGTGGTAAGAGTGGATGTCCTTGGCTTGTTTCATTTCTAAAGGAGAATGCTTTCAGCTTTTGCCCATTGAGTATTATATTGGCTGTGGGTTTGTTGTAGATAGCTCTTTTTTATTTTGAAGTATGCTTATTTGAAGCCTCAACTGTTGAGGGTTTTTTTTTGTTTTGTTTTTTCATGAAGGGACACTGGATTTAATTGAAAGCTTTTCCGGCATCCGTTGAGATGATCATATGGTTTTTGATTTAATTCTGTTTATCTGGTGAATCACATTTATTGATTTGCATATGTTGAACCAGCCATGCATCCCAGGAATAAAGCCTGTATTGTCATAGTAGATTAATTTTTTGATATGCTGCTGATGGATTCAGTTTGCTAGTACTTTGTTGAGAATTTTTGAGTCTATGTTCGTCAACAGTGGTCACCTGAATGTTCTTTTTTTTTGCGTCTCTGCCAGGTTTTGGTATTAAGCTGCTTCTGGCTTCACAGCGTGAGTTAGGAAGGAGTACGTTCTCTTCAACTTTTCTGGAATAGTTTCAGTAGAATTGTACTAGTTCTTCGTTATACTTCCGGTAGAATTTTGCTGTGAATCCATATAGTCCAGGGCTTTTTGGCTTGGTAGATTTTTTATTACTTATTCAATTTCAGAGCTTCATATTGGTCTCTTCAGTATTTCAGTATCTTCCTGATTCAATCTTGGAAGATTGCCTGTTTTCAGAAATTTATCCATTTCCTCTAGATTTTCTAATTTTTGTGTCTAGAGTTATTCCTAGTATTCTCTGAGGATTATTTTGTATGTCTGTGGGACCATTTTTAATGTCGTTTTTGTCATTCTGATTTATATATTTAGATCTTCTCTTTTTTTTCTTTGTTTATCTAGCTAAAGGTCTATCAATCTCTTTTTTTAAATCAACTCTTGGTTTCATTAATCTTTTGTATGGATTTTTGCATCTCAATTTCATTCAGATCTTCTCTATTTTAGTTGTTTCTTTTCATTCCTAGCGTTGATGTAGGGTTGTTCTTTTTTTTTTCTTCCCTAGTTCCTTTAGGTGTAGTGTTAGATTGTTAATTTGAAGTATTTCTAACTTTATGATAAAGGCATTTAAACGTTCCTCTTAACACTGATTTAGCTGCATCCCAGAGATTTTGGTAATTTGTGTTCCCATTTTCATTAATTTCACTTTCTTAAAATTTCTCCCTTAATTTTGATTTTCACACAGAAGTTATTCAGGAGAAAGTTGTTTAATTTTCATCTATTTGTGTAGTGTTGAGAGATGTTGGTATTTATTTATATTTTGATTACATTGAGATCTAAGAGTGTGCTTGATATGATTTCATTTTTTAAAATTTATCCAGACTTGCTTTATGACCAAGCATGTGGTCAATGTTAGAATATGTTCCCTGTGCAGATGAGAAGAATGTATATTCTGTGGTTATTGAGTGGAGTGTTCTGTAGATGTCTTATTAGGTCCAGATGGTCAAGGGTGAAGTTTAAGTACACAGTTTCTTTCTTAGTTATCTGCTTTGATGATCCAGTGCTGCCAGCGGGGGTGTTGAAGTCTCCTACAGTTATTGGGTGGTCGTCTGTCTTTTTGTAGTCCAAAAAGAACTTGTTTTATGAATCTGGGTGCTCCATGTTGGGTGCATTTATATTTAGGGTACTTAAGTATTCTTGTTTGATCATATACTTTCTCATGACATAATGCTCTTCATTCTTCAATTGTTCTTTTTAATTTTGATTAAAGTCTGTTTTATCTGATATAAGAATAGTTACTCCTGCTTTTTTGTTATCATTTGCATGGCAGATTTTCTCCATCCCCTTATTTTGGGCCAGTGGCTGTCATTACATATGAGGTGAGTCTCTTGAAGACTGCAGATGGTGAGCCTTGCATTTTTATCCAGTTTGCCATTGTATGTCATTTAAGTGGGGGTGTTTAGCCTATTTACATTTATGGTTAATGTTGATACATGAGATTTTGATCCTATCATCACGTTTGTAGCTGGTTTTTAGGTAGACTTGATTGTGTAGATACTTTATAGTGCCTGTGAGCTATGTACTTCAGTGGGTTTTTGTGGTAGCAGGTGTCATTCTTTTTACTCAATGTATAGCACTCCCTTAAGGACCTTTCATAAGGCTGGTCAAGTTGAAATTGATTCCCTCAGTATTTGCTTATCTGAGGAGAAATTTGTTTCTTCTTCACTTAGGAAGTTTAGTTTAGTGAAATATAAAATTATTGCCTGGAATTTATTTTCATTAATGATGTTGGACATAGGCCCTTAATCTCTTCTGGCTTGTAAGGTTTTTGCTGAGATATTTACTACTAGCCTAGTGGAGTTCTTGCTTTATGAAAACATGACCTTTCTCTCTAGCTGCCTTTAAGATTTTTTTTTTCTTTTGTATTTACTTTGGTGAATATGATGACTGTGTGCCTTAGGGATAGTCACCTTTTATAGTGCCTAGCTGGGTTTGCTGTATTTTTTGGATTTACATGTCACTCTCTCTAGCGAGGTTAGGAAAATTTTCATAGACTCTATTCTCAAATCTATTTTCCAAGTTGCCTTTTCTCTTTGTTTCTCTTCTAGGAATGACAATGAGTCGTAGATTTGGTCTCTTTATATAATTCCATATTTCTTAAAGCTTTGGTTCATTTTCTTTTTTTAATTCTTTTTTAAAATTTTCTTTTGACTCAGTTGATTCAACGAACCAGTCTTTGAGCTCTGAGATTCTTTCCTTAGCTTGGCCTACCTTCTGTTAATATTTCTTACTGTATTATAAAATTCTTATACTGAATTTTTTCTGCTCTAGAAATTCAGTGTGGCTGTTGTTTAAAATGGCAATTTCATCTTTCAGCACTTACTTAGATTGCTTTACTGGATTACTTGGCTAGGGTTTCAACTTTCTCCTTAATGTTCATGAGCTTCCCTGCCATCGAGGTTCTGTATTCTATGTCTGTTGCAATTATTTTAGACTGATTAAGAACCATTGCTTGGTAGCTAGTGGGCTAATTTTGAGGTAAGAGGACACTCTAGCTTTTTGAATTGCCAGAGTTCTTGCACTGATTTTTTCTCTTCTGGTAGGGTTAGTGTTCCTTTAACTGTAGTGTATGTTGAGTATAGGCAATTGGTTTTGTTTCTGGATGCTTTCAAAGGGTCAGGGCTTTCTCTGTCCAGGATTTTTATGTATGAGTAATTCTTGTGTTTGGTTTCACAGGTGTATATGTAGCAGGATAAATTTTGATGTTGTAGTTTGGGATGTGATCCAATGCATAGTGCTTAAGAGTGATGGCCAGTGGCTAGCCTAATACCCAGTGGCATGGCTGTTTTATACTTCCTTTTGTTTGCAGGTGTGCTCTATAGTGGGGGTGGGAGAGATGCCTCCATCACCAGATGTGCTCCTGGGCCCTGGGGGAGTCTCCTGCAATCACTGTGTTTCTTGTGTTAGGTGTTCTAGGCCACAGGTCTCTCTCAGGCAGAGGCCCTTTCCTAGGAGCCATTCTGGGGAACTAGCTGTAGTGTTTGGGTTCCCTGCACAGGCTTCCTCCCTCTTCAGCTCAGCTTCATTGCTGCCTCTGCATCCACTCAGCATTTTCTCTCTCAAGATCTGCCTAAATTACGGTGGTTTACTCCATAATTTGGTATCTCTCAGTGGGGGTGGTGCTTCCTGACCATGTCAAATTGACCATGTATTGTCACAGAATGAAAACCTCGTTGATAGACTTTGTAACATTTTTGAATATTACATTCAGGAGTAAAATCTTACGCAGTGTGATCCCAGCTATCTCTTCACTTTTGAGAATAACCTTAAGTAATTAAAGGATAATTAAATATGTAATTAAAAATTGAAAAATATAACAGCTACACTTCCAGATGTCAACTTCTTTCAGAAAATTTTAAAATCTCTTTAAAGAAAGGTAAATTGAGACCAAAATAGATTAATAGCTTTATAAAAATAAGTGCTCAAGGAGGGTGTTACATGTGAAAATTAAACTTGGAATTTGTCATTTTACCCGTAAAATTACTGAGAGTAATTTCCTTGAAATGGAAATAACTTTACAAATTTTTAATTAACAAAAATGCTGAAATATTACTCCGCTTACCTTTATGTAACCTCTTCCTTGAAAACAACAATTTACTCATCTGGTGTGTGACTCTGATAACCTTCAATCATTCTCTATATCTGACACCATGACTAGTAACTTAGATCTTTAACTAAGCAACCTTTCTTTCCACCTTTGTGATATTATATCTAGTAATTTAATAACAGACAATCTATGTTGCAAATTAAACTTCCAAATTGAATAGTAATTTTCAAATCCCAAGGACCCATTTCTTCTGCCTCAATCTTAATTAGGTCTTAGTTAATAGAAAAATTAACTGGCTGGGTGCGGTGGCTCATGCCTGTAATCCCAGCACTTTGGGAGGCCAAGGTGGGCGGATCACCTGAGGTCTGAAGTTCGAGACCATCCTGGCCAACATGGTGAAACCCCATGTGTACTAAGAACACAAAAAATTGGCCGGGTATGGTGGTGGGTGGGTGCCTGTAATCCCAGCTACTCAGGAGGCTAAGGCAGGAGAATCACTTGAACTGGCGGGGTGGAGGATGCAGTGAACCGAGATCCCAGCACTGCGCTGCAGCCTGGGCAGCAACAGTGAAACTCCTCAGAAAAAAAAAAAAAAAAAAGAAAAAGAAAAAGAAAAAAGAAAATTAACTAAATCAAGCCTAAATAAAACATATTCACAAAGTGGCAGACTTTTTTAATCCAAAAATTTAACTGTATTAATGTCTCATTTATAGAACATTATTTTACAATGAGGTTTTACACATCAATCAGTTGAGTCACTTCTTTTTTTTTTTGAGATGGAGTCTCGCTCTGTTGCCCAGGCTGGAGTGCAGTGGTGTGACCTCAGCTCACTGCAACCTCCACCTCCTGGGTTCAAGCGATTCTCCTGCCTCAGCATCCTGAGTACAGGCACTACAGGCACGTGAGCAAGAGAAGCTGACAGATTCAAATGTTCACAAACATTTATGTTCTATTTTGATAGATACATAAACTATGTTTCTCATTCTTATATACTTTATATTAGGGCATGGGATTAAAGTCAAAATAGTGGAAAATTAGTAGAAATAACATATTTTATATCCAATTTAGTCTCCAAAATCCCAACATGCACTCTTCTGTATACGTTTTTCAGTATGCTTGACTGGAACGGCCAATTCTACAGTAGTCTTGGAAGCAACATACTGCAGATTAAATACCTTAGTAGCCTATGTTCTTGAATGCGGACATAAAGGAGCAATGCTTTTCCTATCTTAAAAAAACAGTTTATATGAATGAAACTTCTGTTCTGTTTAAGATATTATATGTTGTTGAGTGTAGTTGTCAAAGCAACTAGCACGATTCCAAGTAATATAGAAATCACCAGCTTGAGTTGGGTCTGCCATAACAGCACCTAAAACGTATCCACTAAATTAGTATTAAATGGACAAGTAAACCAAACTCAGAGGGTTGAAATGAAGACTTGTAATACCCAGTGAAAAAAAATTATTGAAACTACCATCTAAAATTAATTGGAAGCTTAATATTACCTCTAGGAAAGAGTGTGGGAAATGAGGAAAGGCAAAAGGTAATGTGTTCATGTTTGTTCTGTTCCATAATCCAAGAAATAGATAAACACAGGCAAAAAAAAAAAAAAAAGAAAGAAAAAAGAAATATCCTGTCTTTAGAGTGGAAAGAAAGTGGATAGAGTTGAGTTGCTAAACCTTAGCATTATTGACATTTTATGCCTGATATTCCTGCATTCTGTGGGAGGTTATTCTTTGCATTGTAGGATATTAATAGTATCTTTAGGCTATACCACCACATACCAGTAGCATCACCACCTAATCATTATAATTCAAAATGTCTCCAGACACTGACAAGTGTTCTATGGAAACAAAGTCATTCCTTGTTGGAAACCACTTGTAAACAAAAAGTCTAGTAATGGTGGAATTATACAGTGACAGAAAAGCTCAGGTTTTTCTGATTAGGTTGAAAAAGCTGCTCAGAAATTAAATCCTACTGTGTTCATAAAAAACAAGGAACCCAGCCCTGAAGCAAAGAACTCATCAGGGAAGTTGTTTTCTCTTTCAAGTCTATGATTTCAAATGACCTTAAAGTGGTCATCTTTACAGTCAGAGAAGCATATGTGTGTTGGGGAGGAGAAAAAAGAAGGAAATGAGGCAGACTTTAGAATTATACCTAGGAAAGAACTGTATGTTTGGTTATAAACTAGATCCAATAAATAAATAAATGGTTTCCACATAACTACTTGGCAAAGGTACAATAAGCCTATTGTGAGAAAAAAAAATTAAGGCTTAAAATATCCTCAAGCATCCCAAATTGCACTAATCAGTGCAATTGATTAGTCATGCTGAGAAAACACTCATTGTTCTAATTTAAGATGGAGGCATGGAGAATAAGAGAAAATGTAAATTACCTCAGAAAGTAAATCTATGAGCCACAGGGACAATGGACCTTAAAGTTATTTCCACAGGACATGTTTATGGTTTCATCAAATAAATATTTGTACTGCTCAGAAATATTTTTGTCAGTGCTCTGCAGACTTCTTTGTCTTCTGATAGGAGCTTCACCATGGTAACTTAGATTTTACAGATAATTTGTCTTTTGACTTTATAGGACACTAGTCCTCGTTAAGTCATATAGTGGCCTGAGGGAGAGAACTGCACGTCATGAAACATCCTGAACTCTAAGTTGTAGGCAGTAACTGGGCAAAACTTTAAGTTGTTTACAGAGGGAAGAGAAGTGAATTTTTCATATATAAAGAAGTGTGCAAATTGTATTTCATGAGTAGTCTTTTGTCTTCTGGAATGGTGATATATACAAAGTAATCTGGGAAGATACAATTTGGTAATAGTAGATCCTTCGTTAACTTGAATTATTTTTTGCAGGAAAGATGCGTCTTTAGCCAAAATTACTTATGGTAAACTGTTATGTAAGCAAGAAATCACCTTCTACTTGGTTTAAGCTATTCAGTGTACTCTCTAGATAGATATGACACAAAGCTAGCATTATGATACAGTAAACCAAGTGTTAATGTAACTTTATGTTGATTTTGACTACATTCTGAAAATAATAAAAGTCATCTGGTATTTTAGGCTTACGATATGAACTTGATACTATGATAGGTGTCTGAAATGTTTATCTCATTTGATTCTTAGAACAAACTTATATTGTGGGTACTAATACAGTACTGATTTTTTAAATAAGAAAAAGGATTGCAAAAAATGTAAAAAGTCTTATTAAAGAGTACAAAATTCTATCTCCAAATGTGTAATGAATTTTATATAGTCAGTTAATATTTGTTTAGCTCAATAAAGTAATGTTCGGTGTAATAGTTGATTTCTTTAATGTTCATTCAGAATCACATTATCAATTTGAAATTAATTCACCTATTCGAAGAAGTTGCTTCCTCCAATTAAGACAGTATAGTAAGCAAAATAATGGTTTACAAAACAAACAAACCAACAAAAAAAAAACCGCATGTCCTGATTTCTGGAAGCTGTGAATATGTTAACTATCTGGTAAAAGGGGCTTTGCAAGTATTATAATGTTAAGGATGGTAAGATGAAAAAGTGTCCTTTTGAGTTCAGTGTAATCAAATGGGTTTAAACTAGGGAAACATTCTTGGCTAGAAACATAAGGTGGTATGATTTCAAAAGAATGGTCAGAGAGACACAGCATTTCTGGTTTGAACAAATGAAAGACCATAAGCTAACAAATCAGGACAGCCTCTGGAGGCTGGAAAAGTCAAGGAAACTGATTTTCCCCTAAAACCTTCAGAAAGGAACACAACAGTTCTCACTCTTTGATTTTAGCCTCATAAGATGCATTGCAGACATCTGACA
Organism: Homo sapiens; assembly: GCF_000001405.40. NCBI lineage: Eukaryota > Metazoa > Chordata > Mammalia > Primates > Hominidae > Homo > Homo sapiens. The sequence goes on along the minus strand of NW_003315917.2, from coordinate 701,197 downwards.
AACACAATTGTTTGACACTATATTTGTGCTATTTTAAACCACTAACTTTGTAGTAATTGGCTACAGCAGCAGTAAGAAAATAATGCAGAGTGTTTCTATAATGGAGATAAAAGTATAAACAAGAGGCAAGGATTTCCTTCCTTCACAGTGTTTATAATATACTAAGAAAACAAACATTAAATACACAGGGCCCCAATAGATTATTCCACTTTAATTTTAGCTGGCACTGTGGAAGGAAAATAGAAATTCTAGAATATAGTGAATAGGAATATAACTTATTCTTATGTGGGAAGAAATGCTTATTACTGAATACTATTTGGGCTGAAAATAAATGCACTGTAGTTACAGTAAGTACAGTAAAAAAGGTAGTTTGCTATAAGGGAACAGAGCCATTGAAATGTAATGAAAGTCATCAAAGTTTTAGGCACTAACTATAAGTTGCAAGGAGTTAAACAATTGTAAGCAGTCCGATTATTAAAAAAATATGTGCCTGATTCTCAAAATCACAAGTATTCTTTAAGATTGCTAACCGTAGTAGTCAGTTTTCACAATGATATAAAGAATGACTTGAGACTGAGTAATTTATGAAGAAAAGAGATTTAATTGATTCATAGTTCTTCAGGCTTTACAGGAAGCATGAATGGGAGGACTCAGGAAACTCAGAAAATCATGGTGGAAGGCAAAGGGGAAACAAGGTTCTTCTTGACATGGCACCAGGAGAGAGAGAGCACAAGGAGGGAAGTGCCACACACTTTTAAACCATCAGATCTCTTGGAACTCACTCACTATCATGAGAATAGCATGTGGAAATCTGCTCCCATGATCCAGTCACCTCCACCCAGGCCCCTCTCTTGACATGAGGGGATTACAATTTGAGATGAGATTTGGGTGGGGACAGAGGGCCAAGCCATATTATTTCTCCTCTGGCCCCTCCCAAGTATCATGTCCTTCTCACATTTCAAAACCAATCATGCCTTCCCAACAGACTGGAAGTCTTAACTTATTCCAGCATTAACTCAAAAGTCCATGTCCAAAGTTTCATCTGAGACAAGGCAAATCGCTTCTGCCTATAAGCCTGTAAAATCAAAAACAAGTTAGTTAATTTCAAGACAACAGTGGGGGTACAGGGATCAGGTAAACACTCCAATTCCATAAGGGAGAAATTAGCCAAAACAAAGGGTCTGCAGGCCCCATGCAAGTCCAAAACCCGACAAGGCAGTCATTAAATCTTAAGGCTCTGAAACAATCTTCTTTGACCTCATCTCTCACGTCCAGAGCATACTGATGCAATATCTGGGCTCCCATGAGCTTTGACAGCTCTGCCTCTGTGGCTCTGCAAGGCACAGCCCCCACAGCTGCTTTCACAGGCTAGGATTGAGTGCCTGTGACTTTTCCAGGCACACTGTGCAAGCTGTCAGTGGATCTACCATTCTGGGGTCTGAAGCACTATGACCCTCTCCTCAAAGCTCCAGTAGGGAGTGCCCCAGTGGGGAATCTGTGTGGGGGCTCCAACCCCACATTTTCCCTCTGCACTGCCCTAGTAGAGGTTCTCCATAAGGGCTCCACTTCTGCAGCAGACTTTTGCCTAGACATCCAGGCATTTCCATACATCCTCTGAAATCTAGATGGAGGTTCCCAAACCTCACCTCTTCCCTTCTGCACAACCACAGGCCCAGCCTCATGTGGAAGCCACCAAAGCTTGAGGCTTGTATTCTCTGAAGCAATGGCCTGAGTAGTGCCTTGGACCCTTTTAGCCACAGTTGGAGCTGAGCAGCTGGAACACTGGGCACCATGTCCCGAGGCTGCCCAGAGCAGCAGGGCCCTGGGCCCATCCCACTAAACAATTTCTCCCTCCTAGGCCTCCAGGCTTATAATGGGAGGGGCTGCCTCAAAGGTCTCTGAAATGTACTGGAGACGTATTCCACATTGTCTTTGCCATTAACATTTGGCTCCTCTTTACTTATGCAAATTTTTGCTTGAATTTCTCCCAAGAGCGTGGGTTTTTCTTTTTTACTATATGGTTAGGCTGCAAATTTTCCAAACTTTTATGCTCTGCTTTCCTTTTAAATATACGTTTCAGTTTCAAGCCATCTCTTTCTTCATGGACATGAGCATAAACTTTTAGAAGCAGCCAGGCCACATGTTGGAAGGTCTGTTGCTTAGAAATTTGTTTCACCAGATACCCTAAATCATCTCTCTGAAGTTCAACATTACACAGATCTCTAGGGCCGGGTCAAAAGGCTGTCAGTCTCTTTGCTAAAGCATAGCAAGAGTAACTTTTTCTTCAGTTCTCAATGAGTTCCTCATCTCCATCTGAGACCCCCTCAGCCTGGACTTCATTATCCAAATCATTATCAGCATTTTGTTCACAACCATTCAACAGGTCTCTAGGAAGATTTAAACTTTCCCATATCTCCCTGTCTTCTTCTGAGTCCTCCAAACTGTTTCCTACCTCTGCCTGTTACCCAGTTCCAAAGTTACTTCCATATTTTCAGGTATTTTTATAGCAATGCCCCACTTCTCTGGTACCAATTTTCTGTATCTATCTCTTCTCAAACTGCTATAAAGAACTACTGGGTAATTTATGAGGAAAAGAGGTTTAATTGACTCACAGTTCTGCAAGCTTAACAGGAAGCACGACTGGGAGGCCTCAGGAAACTAACAATCATGGCAGAAGGTAAAGGGGGAGCAGGTGCCTTCTTCACATGGTGTCAGTAGAGAGAAGAGCCGGGGGGAAGTTCCACACACTTTTAAACCATCAGATCTTGTGAGAACTCACTGACTGTCACGAGAACAGTATGGGAAATCCACCCCCATGATCAAATCACCTCCTACCAGACCCCTCCCCTGACACGTGGGGATTACGATTCAACATGAGATTTGTGTGGGGACACAGAGCCAAAGTATATCACTCACCTAATAAGTGCTTATCTTGATTAAATTGTATGGAAAACTACAACTTAAATTATGTGATCAGAAATTCTATCTAATGATAGACATTAATTCAAATGCCACCATGTTCTCCTGTCAGCTTCTCATATATTGTCATGGATATGATTTAATTGTCCTTCAGTGTCATGGAACACATCCTGAGATTCAGCTGATGAAGTTGCAAACTGGATAAATATAAATGATGATGTTTCAAAAAAGAAAATCCTCACTTAGTAAAAAAATGTTAGGTTTATTTTACACTTTCTTGACAGCTGAACTAATATAAAAAGCACTCACCTTGTTTCTTTCAGTTTTGTGTATGTTTTGATTGTGTCAGCTGAGTTCTTCTTCACGGGATTTTCTATGTGTCAGAGACACTTGTCCCCCATTCTGTTTTCCTGTGTAATCTCAAAATTGACAAGGGTCTTCACTGTATGTGAAAAGGATGTCTGTGTTGCTTGATTTTATGTGTGACTACTGTTTGCGATTGTCCTTTTCCCAATATGACATGTAATTTTACAGCACAGATAGTTTTTCAAAAGAATTACATTCCCAGGCTTAGCAGAGGGAGCGGCCTACTTATTGAAATGTGAAATCGAATCTCTGAAACAGAAACACCAAATTATTATACTAATCTGTAAAGTAGCTATAAAACGTTATTTTTCAGAGTGAAGTATCTGTCAAGATGGCTAGTTTTGGTGTATAATAGAAACGGTATTTTATTCCTTTTATTTCTGTAAACAGATTAAGTCTGTGTGTGTGTGTGTGTGTGTGTGTGTGTGTGTGTGTGTGTGTGTACATGGGATATAATACAAATCTACCTCGACTTATAATGAGTTACATCCTGATAACCACAGGCCAAGATGTGTTATGATGGATCTGGATATACTCATAAGTTGAAAATATTTTAGGTAAAAAATGCATTTAGTACATTTAACAAAAATACTGGCAAACCGAGTCCAGCAGCACATCAAAAAGCTTATCCACCAAGATCAAGTTGGCTTCATCCATGGGATGCAAGACTGGTTCAACATACGCAAGTCAATAGATGTAATCCATCACATAAAGAGAACCAAAGACAAAAACCACAAGATTATCTCAATAGATGCAGAAAAGGTCTTTGACAAAATTCAATAGCCCTTCATGCTGAAAACTCTCAATGAACTAGGTATTGATGGAACATATCTCAAAATAATAAGAGCTATATATGACAAACCCGCAGCCAGTATCATACTGAATGGGCAAAAACTGGAAGCTTTCCCTTTGAAAACTAGCACAAGACAGTGATGCCCTCTCTCACCACTCCTATTCAACATAGTGTTGGAAGTTCTGGCCAGGGCAGTCAGGCAAGAGAAAGAAATAAAGGGCATTCTATTAGGAAAAGAGGAAGTCAAATTGTCCCTGTTTGCAGGTGATATGATTGTATATTTAGAAAACCCCATCATCTCAGCCCAAAATCTCCTTAAGCTGATGAGCAACTTCAGCAAAGTCTCAGGTTACAAAATCAGTGTGCAAAAATCACATGCATTTGTATACACCAATAACAGACAATCAGAGAGCCAAATCATGAGTGAACTCCCATTCACAGTTGCTACAAAGAGAATAAAATACCTAGGAATCCAACTTACAAGGGATGTGAAGGACCTCTTTAAGGAAAACTACAAACCACTGCTCAACGAAATACAAGAGGACACAAACAAATGGAAGAACATTCCATGCTCATGGGTAGGAAGAATCAATATCGTGAAAATGGCCATACTGCCCAAGGTAATTTATAGATTCAATGCCATCCCCATCAAGCTACCAATGACTTTCTTCACAGAATTGGAAAAAACTAAAGTTCATATGGAATCAAAAAAAGAGCCCATATTGCCAAGACAATCCTAAGCAAAAAGAACAAAGCTGGAGGCATCACGCTACCTGACTTCAAACTATACTACAAGGCTACAGTAACAAAAACAGCATTTTACTGGTACCAAAACAGAGATATAGACCAATGGAATGGAACAGAGGCCTCAGAAATAACGCTAAACATTTACAACCATCTGATGTTTGACAAACCTGACAAAAACAAGAAATGGGAAAAGGATTCCCTATTTAATAAATGGTACTGGCTAGCCATATGTAGAAAGCTGAAACTGGATCCCTTCCTTCACCTTATAGAAAAATTAATTCAAGATGGATTAAAGACTTAAATGTTAGACCTAAAACCATAAAAACCCTAGAAGAAAACCTAGGCAATACCATTCAGGACATAGGCATGGGCAAGGACTTCATGTGTAAAACACCAAAAGCAATGGCAACAAAAGCCAAAATAGACAAATGGGGTCTAATTAAACTAAAGAGCTTCTGCACAGCAAAAGAAACTACCATCAGAGCGAACAGGCAACCTACAGAATGGGAGAAAATTTTTCCAATCTACCCATTTGACAAATAGCTAATATCCAGAATCTACAAAGAACTTAAACCAATTTACAAGAAAAAAACAAAGCCATCAAAAAGTGGACAAAGGATATGAACAGACACTTTTCAAAAGAAGACATTTATGCAGCCAACAGACACATGAAAAAATGCTCATCATTACTGGTCATCAGAGAAATGCAAATCAAAACCACAATGAGATAGCATCTCACACCAGTTAGAATGGCGATCATTAAAAAGTCGGGAAACAACAGGTGCTGGAGAGGATGTGGAGAAATAGGAATGCTTTTACACTGTTTGTGGGAGTGTAAACTAGTTCAACCATTGTGGAAGTCAGTGTGGCAATTCCTCAAGTATCTAGAACTAGAAATACCATGTGACCCAGTGATCCCATTACTGGGTATATACCCAAAGCATTATAAATCATGCTGCTATAAAGACACATGCACATGTATGTTTATTGCGGCACTCTTCACAATAGCAAAGACTTGGAACCAACCGAAATGTCCATCAATGATAGACTGGATTAAGAAAATGTGGCATACATACACCATGGAATACTATGCTGGCATAAAAAATGATGAGTTCATGTCCTTTGTAGTGACGTGGATGAAGCTGGAAACCATCATTCTGAGCAAACCTTCGCAAGGACGGAGAACCAAACACCGTGTGTTCTCACTCATAGGTGGGAATTGAACAACGAGAACACTTGGACACAGAGTGGGTAACATCACATGCTGGGGCCTATTGTGGGGTGGGGGGATGGGTAGGGATAGCATTAGGAGAAATACCTAATGTAGTTAATGAGTTAATGGGTGCAGCAAACCAACATGGCACATGTATACATATGTAACAAACCTGCAAGTTGTGCACATGTGCCCTAGAACTTAAAGTATTAAAAAAAAATACACTTAAGAAATGTGCTCAGAACACTTACATTAGCCAGTCCAAAAAAAAAATCTAACCTAAAGCCTATTTTTAAATAAAGTGTTGAATATCACATGTAAATTATTAAATACTGAATGTGAAAAACGGAATGGGTATATGGGTAATAAAAGCATTGTTTCTACTGAATGTTTATCACTTTTGTACCATGATAAAGCTGTAAAGTTGTACCATTGTAAATCTGGGACCATCTGTGTTACATTCAAGAGAAAAGCTCAGTCGAACTAATAAATAAATCAAAATTTCTTCTGATTATTTAGGTGTTTTTTCCTGTTAGATAATTAAGACATCCAACTGTTGCTTGCTGCTTCACCACACAGACCATACACAGATACAAATACACACTCCATGAATGAGCATATGTGCTTGTTTAAAGAGACATACTAACCAAACAGTTGTATGCTGCCGTGATATTGATTATGTCATCAAGTTCCTTATTTAACAAAACACAGCTGTGTATGAAGTATTTCTCTAAAATGTACATTCAATAGCAACTGGTTTTGTTCAGTCTTATGTACCCATATTATTTAAATGAGCACCTGGAGTCTAGAATTAACTAAAAAATATCTATGTTGATGCATATTAAGTTGATTTTGAAGTCATAAATTTTGACAAGAATTGATACTATGGCACTGTCATAACTTTACAAAAGATGACCTGAACTAACATGATTTTATGCTTTTACCAGTGGAACTCCCTGAAATATATTCAGATAATTTGTTATTAAAGCAAAACTAAGTTTATTGAAACCCTGTGCCAAGAAAGTACACCATTTTGACATACTTTTGCAGTGTTTCAGCAGGGAAGAGTGAGAGGAAGATTTTTCATGTTTGTGGAGAATGGCTTAAGAGAGTTAAATGAGTCTTTCAAAGTGAGTAGCTGATTGAAATTGAGCTAAACTCAGAGCATAATAGTTTAGATAGTCTAAGAAATTGAAAAAAAAGTTGATGCCAAGCATACAAGAAATAACACCACCAAAAAATAGACCTAAATACAGACAAAATTAGATTAAAAACAAGAATATGTTCAATGTTAATAAAAGCAAAAGGAACATAGACATAGTTATGGAGGAGTTTTGTTTTGTTTTAATAAGATAAAAATATGGTTAGTTTTATAGCAATACACCTGGAAATCTGGATCAATTCTGTCCACTATAGTCATTACTAGTGACATGTAGATATTGAACACTTGAAATATGGTGGATTTGAATTGATTTATGCTATATGTAAAATACAAACTAGATTTAGTTTAAAAAATGTAAAACTGAATAATTTTAATATTGTTTTATGCTGAGATGACAATATTTTGGATATACTGGATTAAATACATATAAAATATTGTTAAAAATCAAGTAGTATAGTAAAATTGGTCTTTTTGTTTTACTTTTTTATTTTGTTTTGGTTTTTGAAGGGATAGAAATCATGGCTAAGATGGACCCTGGGGCATATCATTGACCATCATGAAACATGCACTGATTTGCCAAATGTATTATTTTCCTGTGGCTGTTATAAAAATCACAATACACTTAGTAGTTTAAAACAACATAAATTTATTGTCTAGCAGTATTCCAGGTTAGAAGTTCAACACAGGTCTTACTGATTTAAAATCAAAGCATTGGAAGACTGCATTCCTTCTATAGGCTCTGTGGAATAATCCATGACCTGGCCTTTCCCAGGCTTTAGAATCCAGCTGCATTCTTTGATGCATGTTCCCTGTCTTGGGCAGCTTGGAATACTGTAAGAAAATACCATAGACCGGGTGACTTAAACAACTGACATTTATTTCTCAGAGTTCTGAAAGTTGGGAAGTCCAAGATTAAGGTGCTGGTATATTTGGTTCGTGGTGAGGGCCCACTCCCTCTCTGGTTAGTAGATGGCCTCCTTCTCTCTGTGTTCACATGGCCTTTCCTGGATACATGTTTACGGAGAGAGAAAGAGAAGGGTGGTTGGGTGGGAGGTGGTCTAGTATCTCCACCTTTTCTTATAAGAACACTAACATTATCATGAGAACACCACACTTAGGACATTATCTCAACCTAGGTTCCTCCCAAAAGCTCCATCTCCAGATACTATCACACTGCCAATTAATAGATCATTGAAAATAATCTATGAATATTTGAACAATGCCAATCATCTTCAATAGATTAATTTTAGGGAGACACAAATATTCAGTTCATAACAGTTCCTTTCCTTGACCTTCAAAGCTACAAATGAAGGAGCAAGTCTTCACATTCTCCTTTTATATCTCCCTCTTCTACGTGTAAAGAATCTTATGATTGCATTTGGCCATCTAAAAATCTATGATAGTCTCTCCATTTCAAAATCCTTAACTCTAATTGCATTTGCAAAGTCTGTCCTGCCAGGTAAGCTAACAAATTTATAAATTATCTGGATTAAGACCGCATCATCTCTGAAGAGCCATTATTCTGACTACCACATCAGTATGTTAGTTTATGTCAAGATTGCTGTAATAATCAATAGGTTCTGGTACCACAAATCCAGTAGCAGTCATTAAGGTTGATTGAGTTTATTGATTGCTTTCAGCTCCATTCTGCTATTAATCACTTTTGGGGATATAAAATGAAGACCTTATCACATAGAGGAAGAGGTAGATGTGATAGGAGCTTGAATATGTAATAAGAATTTTTTATGATATGTAAATGTGAGAAATGAATTAAGTATGTGCCATTTGTTCTCTTCTTTTTAAGACATTTCTTTCTAAAGGTTTAGTGACAGAAGTTGCATTCTATTAAAGATCCCTAAGTGCTGTTCTGCTGTAGGCATAAGCTTTCTTTCCTGGGTGCAGCATGTTAGGATTTAAGATTTCTATTTATCTAATACTCTGCTGTTTGTCAGATAAAATAACAATAAATAGTGAGTCCAATTATTGATAAACCCAGATGTTTCATATTTAGGAATCGATGTTAAAAAAAAAAAACTCTAATTGGCATCCTAAGGAAAATGTGTGCAGCTTAGCACTGATTCAACTGCATGTTTAGCCAAATTGTGAACAAATTACGGCCAGCTTCCGGACTCTTCTAGAGAGTGACTAAGGACGGCATAGAGGAATTAGGAATAGTAGCTTTATAGGTAAAGTAATTAAATGTAACCTTAAGCATAAAAAGATAAAGTTAACTAGGAAAATGAAAACTCAAGATATACAGATTAAATATGACAAACAATGGATCTTTTTTTGTGGATCTTGGTTTGCAGATACCGATATCTCATATAGTGATTCACTTGATCCAAAGGCATTTGATGGAAGCTGTCTTCTCCCAAAGACTATTTGCTTTTGGAAGAATCCTAAGAGTCGTTAGTTAGAAGTTTTTGGTAGGGATACTTTCCTGTAATATGAAGATGACCTAAACCTCTTTACTTGAGAGATAGGAATCAAAGGATCAGTCTTTTAAAGACTATGGGTTTGCTAGTTGTTAGCTGTGCCTGATAGTGACTTTTTTCCTATGATCTTTCCCTGCCGTGTCTCTTAGAAGACAAGGTATCCAGGTATGAAAACCAATTTTGCAGACATTGTTTAGGATACTAATGGGGAAAGTCTTCAGTAACTTTTGTTGAAAGAATGGATTTCCTGAGTCCTTACAGCATTTAGTTAAATAAGTGTAGATTTCTAGAATCAGAGCTAATATTCCTAGACACTTGGTTTAGCTGTTACTAACTCATGAACCACAGAAAGAAGAAATACCTTAGACCATGCAAGTTTGACGATCTCTGTGAACTTTACCAACTTTAGTTTCAGAATTCCATCTTTCTACCTTCCCAAAAGGTTGAAAGTGATATGGACAGTGAAGTCTGATTAATTGACAGAACTTTTCCATGTTAATAAAAATTCCGGTAAAATGGTTTCCTTGTTACTAGAGATATAGTTTGGGATTCCCCAGGCTGAAAAAAAAAAAAAGGATTTTCTCCATGCCAACAAGAGACAAATAATGATCAGAACATATTTAAAATCTATTGCCAGCACTTGTTATGAAAAATTCATTTAGATTTTTACTGAGACATTTTACAGTTTTGTTAGGATTAATCTGACGAAGGTGGAGACAAGTTGTAAGGATATAGTTATATAAAGATATACTTACCAATTTTAGCAAAATTTTCCCCCAGCTATTGGTTAAATACATTGGTCAATTTGTCCTCATTGTGCCAGAAAAGCTCAGCAGTTCTGACTAAAGTTTATGTTAACCCATTGCCAGTAGAATGAAAGAGTTGAATCCTCTCTTAAATTATAATATATAGTTGACTCCTCAACAACACAGGTTTGAACTGTGCAGGTCTGCTCATATGTAGATTTTTTCCTATAAATATATTAGAAAATTTTTGGAGATTTATGAAAAATTGAAAAAGATAACAGGTGACCCATCTACACAAGAAATATTAAAAAACTAAGAAAACGATGTCATGAATGCATAAATCATATGTAGATACTAGTGATCATTTAATACAATGAAATATATATGCGTCTATTATAAAAAGTTAAAATTTATCAAGACGTAGGCAAACACAGAGCATACATGCAGCCAATTGAAGTTTAGAGAAAAGTAAAACAAAAATATACAAAAGTAAATCATAACTGCACAAAATTAACTGTAGTACATACTGTACTACTGGGATAATTTCCTAGCCTCCACCTGTTGTTCTTGCAGTGAACTCAAGTGTTGTGAGTATTCACTTAAAATGCCACATAATGCTAATCATCTTCTTGTGAGTAGCTTGTCTCTCCAGTAAATTAACACAGTAAAAAGTGTTCTCTCATGTTTCTCCTGTATTATTCATGATGTCTAGTGCAATACCATAAACCTTGAATAACACCTTCAGACCTATAAAAAGTGCTGCTAGTGATGCTGAAAGTTCTTCCAGGAAACAGAGAAGGGTCCTGACATTACAGGAAAACAATGAATTGCTTGATAGGTACCCTAGATTGAGGTCTGCAGCTGTGTGTGCTGCCATTTCAGAAGAAGGATCCATCTTGTAAACACAGGATTGTAAACTTATGAGAGAAATAAATATACTGTAGTACTGTAAACGTATTTTTTCTTCCCTATAATTTTCTTAATAACACTTTCTTTTCTGTAACTAGCTTCATTGTAAAACTACGGTGTAAAATACATACAGCGTATGAAATATGTGTTAAGGATTGTCCAGTCAACAGTAGGCTGTTAGTTTAGTTTTGGGGAGTCCAAAGTTATATGTGAATTTTTGACTGTGCTGGGGTGGTGGGGAGGGGTTAGGGAGGTTTGATGGCCCTAAACCTTGTGTTTTTCAGGAGTCAACTGTACAGTTTAGAAGAATATGATTTAGAATTTCCCTGAGATTAAGAACATATTAAATGGTGGGAAGGATATTGATAGACCTCTAGATCTAGTGACACTATCAACTTTGACTGTGTCTGTTTGATGAAGGAATTAAAATCTAGTAACAAAAGCATTTTGTAGATAGTTATTGTACCAGTCTTTGTTCTTGAACATCAGTGTGTTTTTTTGAACTGAAAATCACACATTGAATGAAAGGCTTCATCTCAATATATTTTATTTACACATAAATTTGAGCTGTTTTTTGTTCACAAGTTTGGCCGATAAAAGAGCCCTCACAATAGCTTTAATTACCATTTAAAATTACAAATTAATGTGATTTTTTAATTTTTCTCTCTTTTGTAGGGTGAAGGAGCAATGCTTTTGGTTACTCAGTATTCTCTCAAGAAAATTTAAAGATAGTTTATACACAGAAGATATTTTAACAGGTTATATTCTGAACTTGTGGCCCGGATTTGGAAAAAGCAATATCAAGTATGGTTCAAGGGGACAAGAAAGAGAGAAGCATTTGTTACCATTTTTCCAAGTCAAAAATATTTAATCAGATAATATTTTAAAAGCCAGCAATAATTAGTAATGATTGGTATAATGTTTTTGTCAAAATTATTAAATAGGAGATAAAATTAAAAGCTTTATTTTTTTGCATTCAAATAAAATTTTAAGTATTTTGATGAGCTTATTAAATCAACAATGCATGTATTACATTGAACCTGACTTCTTAATAAGTTGCAACCAAATCTTTAATGATAAGTTTAGGTCAGAGAGATAATTTTGAGATTTGTCACCATAAAGATAGGGTATAATGTGATGTAAATAATTAAGATCAGGTGGAAAGACAAATAAGATTGAAGGAAGACCCAAGACCAAGGTTTGGGGCACTCTCAGAAGTTCTAAAAAAAAAATTTAGACTATGAGTAAAGAAGGATTGATCAGCAAGGTGAAATGGATCAAGGAAATGTGGGCACTCAGAGGTACAGAGGGGTTAATTGCTGCTCAGAAAATACTCAGACGAATGCTGAACAATAGATTAGATAGAACCGATGTCCTAGAAATCATGAAGATAAGTGACTTTATTAAAATACATATTATAAACAAAGAAGGAATTTACTGTTCGAAAAGTTGTCTTGAAGAATTGTTTTGGGAGAAAATAAAAAATAAACCTTATTTTCTAAAATACACTAAAACTAATTCCAAATGAGTCAAAGGATTGTGTACAGATATTTTAAATTAATAAAACAATGTTAGTGCAGATTCTCTTTAATTACTTCCCTGATTGTTTTACCTATAGTAACTCATTTAATTCTACTAGCAATCTTTTCATGTTGGATACAGCTATTCAAATTTTCTTTTGTTATTGCAATAGCCTCCTAACCATTCTTCCACAAAATTGAGGCACTAAAAGGTTGTGAAATTTCCTCTATGCCACAGAGCTTTTTAGTGATGATTTGGCATTTGGAAGCACATCTTTGAAATGTTCATTTTTCTCTGATGGCCAGTGATGGTGAGCATTTCTTCATGTGTTTTTTGGCTGCATAAATATCTTCTTTTGAGAAGTGTCTGTTCATGTCCTTCGCCCACTTTTTGATGGGGTTGTTTGTTTTTTTCTTGTAAATTTGTTTGAGTTCATTGTAGATTCTGGATATTAGCCCTTTGTCAGATGAGTAGATTGTGAAAATTTTCTCCCATTCTGTAGGCTGCCTGTTCACTGTGATGGTAGTTTCTTTTGCTGTGCAGAAGCTCTTTAGTTTAATTAGATCCCATTTGTCAATTTTGGCTTTTGTTGCCATTGCTTTTGGTGTTTTAGACATGAAGTCCTTGCCCACGCCTGTGTCCTGAATGGTAATGCCTAGGTTTTCTTCTAGGGTTTTTATGGTTTTAGGTCTAACGTTTAAGTCTTTAATCCATCTTGAATTAATTTTTGTATAAGGTGTAAGGAAGGGATCCAGTTTCAGCTTTCTCCATATGGCTAGCCAGTTTTCCCAGCACCATTTATTAAATAGGGAATCCTTTCCCCATTGCTTATTTTTCTCAGGTTTGTCAAAGATGAGATAGTTGTAGATATGCGGCGTTATTTCTGAGGGCTCTGTTCTGTTCCATTGATCTATATCTCTGTTTTGGTACCAGTACCGTGCTGTTTTGGTTACTGTAGCCTTGTAGTATAGTTTGAAGTCAGGTAGCGTGATGCCTCCAGCTTTGTTCTTTTGGCTTAGGATTGACTTGGCAACGCGGGCTCTTTTTTGGTTCCATACGAACTTTAAAGTAGTTATTTCCAATTCTGTGAAGAAAGTCATTGGTAGCTTGATGGGGATGGCATTGAATCTATAAATTACCTTGGGCAGTATGGCCATTTTCACGATATTGATTCTTCCTACCCATGAGCATGGAATGTTCTTCTATTTCTTTGTATCCTCTTTTATTTCATTGAGCAGTGGTTTGTAGTTCTTCTTGAAGAGGTCCTTCCCATCCCTTGTAAGTTGGATTCCTAGGTATTTTATTCTCTTTGAAGCAATTGTGAATGGGAGTTCACTCATGATTTGGCTCTCTGACTGTCTGTTATTGGTGTATACAAATGCGTGTGATTTTTGTACATTGATTTTGTAACCTGAGACTTTGCTGAAGTTGCTCATCAGCTTAAGGAGATTTTGGGCTGAGACAATGGGGTTTTCTAGATATACAATCGTGTCATCTGCAAGCAGGGACAATTTGACTTCCTCTTTTCCTAATTGAATACCCTTTCTTTCCTTCTCCTGCCTAATTGCCCTGGCCAGAACTTCCAACACTATGTTGAATAGGAGTGGTGAGAGAGGACAAATCAAAACCACAGTGAGATACCATCTCACACCAGTTAGAATGGCAATCATTAAAACGTCAGGAAACAACAGGTGCTGCAGAAGATGTGGAGAAATAGGAACACTTTTCCACTGTTGGTGGGACTGTAAACGAGTTCAACCATTGTGGAAGTCAGTGTGGCGATTCCTCAGGGATCTAGAACTAGAAATACCATTTGACCCAGCCATCCCATTACTGGGTATATACCCAAAGGACTATAAATCATGCTGCTATAAAGACACATGCACACGTATGTTTATTGCGGCACTATTCACAATAGCAAAGACTTGGAACCAACCCAAATGTCCAACAGTGATAGACTGGATTAAGAAAATGTGGCACATATACACCATGGAATACTGTGCAGCCATAAAAAATGATGAGTTCATGTCCTTTGTAGGGACATGGATGAAATTGGAAATCATCATTCTCAGTAAACTATCACAAGGACAAAAACCCTAAGACTGCATGTTCTCACTCATAGGTGGGAATTGAACAATGAGAACACATGGACACAGGAAGGGGAACACCACACGCTGGGGACTGTTGTGGGGTGGGGGAAGGGGGGAGGGAAAGCATTAGGAGATATATCTAATGCTAAATGACGAGTTAATGGGTGCAGCACACCAGCATGGCACATGTATACATATGTAACTAACCTGCACATTGTGCACATGTACCTTAAAACTTGAAATATAATAATAATAAAATTTAAAAAAAAATGTTCATTTTTAATTATAGCACTACACCATGCACTGAATCACGGAGGGTAAAAATGCACACTGTTAATAAGAAGGAGGGAGTCAATCTCATTAGTATTATAATATTTATACTGAATGAGACTCCATTCCCGAAATTCACAGAATTAAAATAATAAAAATAAAAATTTATTGCTAGGCAATTTGCAGCAAAAAAGATTCATTCTCATATTCTGCTATGAGAAAATAAATGAAATTGAATTTTAAAAGACATTTTTGGAAAGCCCTTTGAATTAACCAGAAAATTGTTAAATTCGTAGTTTTTTTGACTAACATTCTTCTTCCACGTTAACAGAATTTATATATAAGTGACACTCATTGCATATACTTTTAAGGGGTAAAATAATTACTAAATTTATGTACACTATTAATACTTCATTGTATAAAATTGCATATATACCCATATGCAAATGTGCACAGAATCAATAGGGTAACCATAGACATAAAATGATCAGTGCAGGATATTTTATTTATGCATTTTATATATAATATACTTTTCATTTAATATTTTTGCTAATTTTATTGAATTGAATATTTATGCCTTGGTTATAGAACAACTAAATTTATTTTCAAAGAAACTCCATTATTATTGTCTGCAAGAGTAAAACTTATAAACAATCTAAAAATTCAACCAAATACAACCATTTACAATTGTGCCCTAGTTGAATTTGTAATCGTAGGAGAAAACACAGGTGTTGAATTTTTTGAGTTTCATTTAAAAAATAATTGACACAATCCCTAAGGTATCATATAAATTAATTGAATTGTTATTGTCTTGGGTTAACATTTATTTCTAGAGTTTTTTTTCCCCTAATATCTGATTTTTTCCATTAACATTACTTATTTGGATAATCAGAAAAAAATCAACATTGCCAAAAGATAGATAATACCACAAGCGAAATATCTATGATAATGATAGGAAAATGCTTTGAATTCAGGCTGAATGAGAATTAGTCTAGGAAAACAGCTTGGACCCTCTCATTCCTGTTAATGTCATCTCTGTGTTTAGCACTGCTGCTATTCCTCAGCTACTAAGAAATGCTCTATTGCTGGGCATGGCATATGGGAAGCCAAGAAAAATGACTGGCTGCTTGGTGACAGCTCTCTAGTCCTCATGCCAAGTTCTGCCAGTGATTTAAATATTAAGTAATGGAAAGAATTTTGAAATCCAGGATGATTAGAAAAGTCATTTTCTACAAAAGTGAAGCATTGTCTTTAGAGATTAAAATCTATGAAAATAACATTATTGAAATACTAGACTTCAGACTATTTTTCTGAATTACTGTAACTGTTGAAATAGGTCTTTCAGCCCATTAAGATAAACACCACACTTTTCTCTTCATGATCTCCAGCTGTAATTTTATAGTGAAAGGTGCTTGCATAAAAGAGTTCACACTATCTGAAAGATGTCACATGTAACATTGACTGGCAGCCATTTCAGAATGGCAGACAGCCAATAAATCATTCAGAACTATGTGTCACTCGTTGTGGCTTTAAAATTGTATTCCTTCTCCTTTGATAAAGAACATTTCAATGTCAAATAGTTTGTTCTATTTAAACTTATACATCAACCAGAATATTGAGATACACAATAAAATTAAATGATTTGGTAATACCTTTAGAATTTATCTAAAAACAGCCGTATGTATTTGCATGACAGATTTGGTTCACAAACCGATCAAGTTGTTAGTATCAAAGGCATGTTTTAGTGCTGATTTGTGTATAGATAAATTTAGGAAATTACATAAATAGAAATACTTCTTTATAAAATTCCTTGACCTTGTGATATCTTGGTATTAAGAATCTTAAAGGAATCATTTAAAAAAATTCAAAAGCAAACAATTTCGATTTTACAAGAGCTAAGAAAAAAACATTTTGCTATGGACACAGATCGCTCTTCAAGAAAAGATTTCTTTCCCCCTTGGCTGCTAGGAGCAATATTACAAAGCAGCCTTCAGCTCTCAGCTCCTTCAAAGTTTGCCTCAGCTGTAACCATTGTCTGGCTCAATGTTAGGGCATCCTGGAGCACTGGACATGCAAACACGAATGGAGATGAGGTTATAAAGCCTGGCCATTTTGACCCACCTGAGAGGATTCTGACAGGTCCTTCCAGTGCCTGAGAAACCCAGGGCTCACATGCTTTATATTCTGATCATTCTGTAGGGGTTGTTCCCATGGGTGATAGAAGCTGCCAAATATAAAGAGGCAACCATGCAAATTTTTAGGAATTATTTCCAAAACTCTCATAACAACATCATATATATTTATTGGTTGTTTAAGTAGATTTCTGAGGAGTAGATAGCAACGATAGAAGTGAAAGAAAGTAAATGCAGTTGTTAAAGGATTAGTCTTCCCATACTTAGAAAGTACACAAGTTGCATATACACTATGTTCCTTCCCTAGAGCAAGTATTTCAATGCAGTCATGTGTGTGTGTTTGTGTGCTTGTGTGTGTGTGGTGTGTGTGTGTGTGTGTGTATGCTAACTGAACTCATTATAGATTTTATTGGATCAGATATATGAAGAGACTTGGAAGACTTGGGTTTGTCTGGAACTGGGTGAAATAGAGAAGGACGATCATTGACATAGAAAGCTGATTACTTTGTCCTTTGAGTATAAATAGTCTTACAATAAAATGGCATCTCCACTGTCTAAAACACATTTTTACATTTGCTCTCCTTCTGAAATTATTTATGTGAAATTAACAAATGTACTTATTACCTTAGAAACAAACGATCCGTAATTTATATTATTTATTGTATATTTGTAGATCCACTTAAAATTGATTTGCAATATAAGGAAAAAATGCGTTTTATAAGTTGTTTGCTTTGTGTAGTGCATCTTGTTAACCGTAGGACTACTGTTGCATTGAAACAAAATAGAATTAATCTGTTCAGGTAAATAGAACTGGAAGTGAGATTTGTTGTCACTCCTTCTCCTTCAAGTACTGACCAGTCTTTTAATTCACACATAACTAACACTCTGTGCAATAATATTTTTTTGTTCTCTGTCTTTTCAAACAGAACTCAAGCTCCATGAGGAGATGTTTCATTGTCGGTGAGCACATTCTTGTCAATTAGTTCCTTCTTGTTTCTTACTATAGCCCCTGTGTCTAGAACCTTTCCAGGTATTCAGTAGCCATTTAAAAATTATTTGTTGAATGAATTGTTATTTTAAAGAACATCCACAATTTTGCCTGACTGGGCATGGGAATACATGCCCATCTTTGGACTGAATGTCCATTTTTCCCTTCTTTGATTTATCAAAATATTGGTTAAATGATCAGGACTACCGTCAGAAGGAATTTTATATCTAAAAATAGTTTACCTTCTATGGATGTAAAAAATAGTTGTAGTAGTTCTGGCTTTTATATTATTCGATGTTTCAAAGCGGTTTTTTTTTTCCATCACCATATTCTACGTTCTTGAAAAGTACTCGTTCATGTGACTGCTATCATTTATGCTTGTGCAGCACGTAGATACAGGAGAGAAGATAAGGAAAATGCTTACCCTGTGTCTCCTTCCCTGTAACACAGTTTTTTTTACCATATTGATTCTCCACTTTCTACTCCCTAAGTAAAATTTTGCAACAGGCATTTGGGAAACTCTGGATACAAGAAAAAAATTTTAATATTGTACAAAGAGACAAGAGGTGACTTCTTTTTTATTTTTCATTTAGAGTTTATAGTTTAATTAAAGAAAATGCACATATATCTAAAGATAATCATGGATAATACACTCATGTAATTACTACTTTCAGTGGTTGTAACAACAGCCAAAGCACAAACAGAAATGAGAAAGAATTATCAGCATTATGCAAGTACATATCCTCTTTAAGAATTCCTGTTATAGTGAAAGCATTAAAATAATTGAACACGTACAGAGACCATATACTTTGTGATCTTTTTAAAAAAGTATTCAAAATATATTTCTGTGTGCAAAACATTTTCATAATGGTCTTGTTTAAATGAAAGTATTTAGAATAGCACATTGTAAAATTATGCTGCAGAGCACAAGTATTTTTCTCTTTAGAAGACACATAATAAAATAGAATCATCAGTGTTTTTTCATAAACATGAATCTTTAGAGTGTTACTTGATCCTGCATAATAAGGGTACTTTTTTGCTTAATGTAAGCATAGTATACTAATTCTTTTAAACTTCAGAAAGCATATTTACAGTCTAGGCAGATGGGACATGAAGGTCACACAGCATGAGCAGTGAAATATCTCATTTACCTAGAGTTCTAGAGAGAATTTTAGGAACTCTTATTTATTATCAGTGCATAAACAAGAGTAAACTCTACAAAACTGTTTGCAAAACTCTCCTCTTTCTACTCAGAAGGCTTTCCCTAGAATAATCATTATGGAGTCTGTCCATCCTTTACTCATTCACTGCATGGGGACAGGTGTTAGTTATGAGATTGGTGAATTTAGAAAGCTAACCAATTTCATACCTATTTTGGGATTCTCAATTCACAAACTTTTGTGCGTTTCTTAATTATTTCCTTTCTTTTTCTTGTAGAGAGCAGTCATGATGGCCTGCACTCCACACAATGCAACAGAGTGAAAGAGCAGGTTCTGCTTCTTTGGTGTAGTCCTGAAGCTTCCTAAGAAACTTCACATCAGGTGATGGATAGGAGCAACCCTGTAAAACCAGCCTTAGACTATTTTTCAAACAGTAAGTAATAAAGGTGACGTTTTGATCTTTATCTGCTTAATTACTTCTGCTATGATTCTATTGATTCTAACATTGAAGGAGCAGTAAATTTATATGTATTATCCAACTATAAAACAATAAATAAACGATATGTCAAATACATTATCACATCCTTATGTTCTTATGATAATATTGTCCTTTTTTTAACAGTTTTTATTCTTATTTGTTGATTGGTTTGTCTTTATGTTGTCCTTTCTACTATCAAACTGAACATGTTGAGGTCATAGGCTATCAAAACTGTACATTTCTGATGCTAACCATAGAGACTTAACAACAGTAAATAGGCCAAAATGGAATGTTGTTAGCCATAGTGTGTATTATTATTTCTTTTATACATGTGGTCACTGTTAGAGGAGTTTATGACTTTTTGCCTAGATTAATGACACACAAACCATCTACAAACGAATCATACCTTATTCCCTCACTGTAATTTTTAATGTTGCTATTTTTGCCTGTTAACATTCCATAGGTTTATCACATTGCTTAAAGATTTAATTTAATTTCTGTAATTGTATATGTCATGAGAGATTGCTTTTAACCTTCCAATGTTCGTGGTCTCATTTTCACTAACATAATCCCAACTTTAGCTGCGCACAATACCACATTTCCCAGCATTCCTTGCATCTGGATATAGCTGTATTCAAATAAGCCGTGTGAAACTTCTGGGATGGCTCCTTAAGTGCAGTTGACTCATTAGGGAGGTATGTCTTTTTTATTTTTCTACACTTTGTGCTGCTGTCCTGGAGTACAGACATGGTGGCTAGAAGCATGAAATCACCTTGAAGGTAGAAGTCATGCATTGAAGTTAGTAAAAGTGAAATGTAAGTGTATAGTTTCCTGATGAAAATGGGAAGCTTATGTACTAGCAACAGAATGCTTATTATGCAGGCTTCCTATATGTAAAAGAGGACAAATTCTCATTTTATTAAGTTTCTGAAAGTAGATTTCTAAATGCTGGTTCTATTTTTTATTGAAAGTAATGGCAAAAAACGCAATGCCTTTTGTACCAACCTAATAGTTAATAAACATATCCTCAAATGAAATGTCTTAGAATTGTGTTCATCAAGTTAATATTAATAATTTATTAGAATAGCACTCTAAAGGGTTGCAGCCTATGCATGAAAATACTTACAAACTACTACATGATAATCAATTCTTTTTGGCAAGACTGCTATTTACATGGACACAAGAGTTATTATAAGAATGTTGTATGTATACATGAATAGTGTCTGTTAAACACTGGATATAATAAAAACAATAGTTTTTCTGTTAATTATAACAATCTGAACATTTTTGTGATTATATTTCACAAATGACACACCATTTTATTTGCAGATTTTTCTTATCCCCAAAGTTTTTGTTAATTTATTACCAACACAGCACACAAGTCTAGTGGCAATGCATTACCTCTGCAGTTGATTTTGAAGTAAGAAGGCCTATTTATTGCATTCATTCCTGCTTAGATGACATCTTAAATTTGTTAATTGGATTATTATGCTCTATTGTATACATTTATTGATTTATAGATTTTGTGGACACAAATTTCAAAACATATTCGAAAATTTGGTGATAGCTTTTTAGAATCTATTCTTCAACATAGTTATTGAAAGTGAACAAGAAGGACCTCCTCTAGAGATTAGGTTGAGAACCACTTCTTTGATTTGTTAAATATGTGTACATGGATACCATGTGGCTTTATTATGAGGAGCCACTTAAGTGGCTGAGTTACAATTCACAAAACATTGTCACAGGGAAAATATCAGGACAAATTTTCAAGTCGCATGCCAAGAAAAGAAACTTTCTGAATGCTTATAAGAAATACCTTAATTAATGGGAGCCCTTCAAAGTACACAAAACATCATAACTAGGAGTTGCAACACAACCAGCAATTTGCTGATTGAAATGCATTCATTCATACTGACTTCACCTGCTGAATGGAATATTGTGCTGTACTGTCCTTAGCTATGGAGAGAGAATTAAGGAATATCCCCTTCTGGTGTTCAACAACAACGAAAGAGCAAGAAAGATATATTCCTAATTTTTAAAGAAGAATGTAGAGATACTTAAACAAGACAATGAAGGTGGTAGAAAGATTATTACCATCCCCAAAGTGTTTGCTCATTAAAACATTTTGTGATTTTCTCTGCCAATATCATACCTGTATGGATAATTGTTTTCCTATCCACACAGTTATGAGAGTGAGAAGATGGAATATAAAAGATGGAACAAGAGGGAATCTGTGTGGTGACCACAGTAATCACAGGCTGGTTGGGATCCTAAACTCGGCCACAGCACAAAAGCATGTTCAAGTTTAAAGTCATGAGAGAGGCCTGGCATAGTGGCTCACACCTATAATCCCTGCACTTTGGGAGGCCAAGGTGGGAGGATTGCTTGGGGCAAAGAGCTCAAGATCAGCCTGGGCAACATAGTGAGATCCCATCTAAAAAAATGTTCTTTAAGTTAGCCTTATGTGGTGGCATGTTCCTGTGGTATCAGCTACTCAGGTGGCTGAAGTGGGAGGGTCACTTGAGCCTGGAGGTTGAGCCATAATCATGCCACTGCACTCCAGCCTTGGTGACAGATTAAGACTCTGTCTCCAAAAGTAAAACACCAAACAACACAAAAAGTAAAGTCACAATAAAATGAGATGCTATTAAGGTTGTTTTAGGTTGATTTTCAACTAGACCAGCATTTAGCCTGTACAAAGGCATATACAAAATAAACCCTAAACCTAAATGGGATTCAGCAGCAGCAGTGTGGGTTAAAGAAGCCACCAGTTCCCTGGAGGCCAGAACCACAGGCCTGTGGCCTTTTTTATTGTTTTGACAGGGAGGTGGAAAGCAGGAGTATAACTACATTCAAGTGTCTGCTCTGTTGCTGTAGGAGAAAATCCGTGCTGTAGCACATCAAAGTTTTTCCAAATTTTATTTCTTAGGACATCTTTGGGGTTTATGTAAGTATTAAATAGAGCTCCCCTAGCCCAGGCTTACACAGGACATATGTCTAGTGTCATAGGTCTGTATGCTTAAATTATAGCAGAAAGTTTGCTAAAATTTAAGTGAAGTAATGTTGAAGGTTGAATCATTTGAAACAAACTACCTGCACCAAAATATTCTTTAGTGTACTGATTTCTATCCCACCCCTAATGAGGCTGAATTTTAATCTTAACTCTGCTTGTAATTAGGTATTTATATGTGTCTGTTATTCATTTTTTAACAAGATGTCTCTTCAGAGATAAAATGAGGGTAGCAAAAAATAATTTTAATAGCCATTTATATGGCTTTGATAACAATTGTCTGTTCTACTTATCTGACTGATTCTAAACTCTAAAGGTTATTTTACAGTTAGTAAATTACATAATTTTTATGCAACAATTTGCCTGCCAGGATTCCTATAATACTTGTCAGCTATCAGTAGGTATAAGCCTGTTAGCCTCTAATGTGAAGATAATATCTCTTTAAGTTATAACGCATTTACAATTGTTACAGTTTCTAAGGTCTTTTTGAAGTTAGAGATGCATCTGAGGATGATGGTTTTCAAGGAGATAGCTCTTTGACAAAAAATGACAATATGGGACTTAGTGTTATATTAATTTACACATTATGTTTTTGCTATAAAGAGATAAAAGGTGTGCTATACTACCTATCAATTACTGTATGCCACATTTTGTAGAATTGTTTTCCATATTATTGTAGAATGTGGCACTTAAATAGTATCATGAAAAAAGTTTATTCAAGAAATAAGACATTAATGAAATATAATTAATATATAAAGACTATATTTAAAAATAATTATGTATTTCTAATCCTAAACTTTTTAAGGTGACATTATTTTTTTCTGTGATATAATTTCAGTTGAGAAGAACTTTAAATTTTAATAAGATTTTAAGATGATTCAGTAATGTTAACATACTTCTGTAAATTTTGTTAACAATTTAGCTGCATTAATTAAATATTTATGTAGCTAATTTTAATAGTGATATTTTAATACAATTCTTAATTTTACTCCTGGCTTTCAATCATTCATATATGTTTTTAAAAATTGCTTTTTCCATTGCTTTACTTCTTAATTACTTTTATCAAAGTCTTAATTGTGTGTGGTTGATTTTAAAAGTTAAATATTTCTATAAGATTTATAAAGACAAACTGGGTACAGTGACTCACACCTGTAATCCCAGCACTTTGGGAGGCCGAGGGGGTAGATCACTTGAGGTCAGGAGTTCGAGACCAGCCTGGCCAACATGGTGAAAGCAGTTTCTACTAAAAATACAAAGATATGCCTGGTGTGGTGGTTGGCCCCTGTAATTCCAGCCACTTGGGAGGCTGAGGCAGGAGAATTGCTTGAACCTTGGAAGCGGAGGTTGCAGTGAGCTGAAACCATGCCATTGCACTCCAGCCTGGGCAGCAAGAGCGAAACTCCATCACACACACACACACACACAAAATATATATATATATATATATATATATATAAAATATATATATGTATGTATGTATATATACATGTATATGTGTGTGTGTATATATATATATACACACACTATATATATATATATATATATATACACACACACACAATAGAAATGTCCTGGCTATATCTATATTAATAGGTTTTGCACATTTAAACCAAAGTCACACATATGGTTTGATTCTAATTAATTCTAATGCATCTTGCAGGTTTCAAACTGTATTCTATTATGTAATTATCTGCTGATCCACTCTGTATCCTGTTGTGTAAGTTGCGATGATTAACCTCTGCCTTTACGATGTAATCCAAATGTAGCATATAGACCTCAATGATAAGATTGATCATGGTGCATTTAATCATTAATTTATTATTAATCTCTTTTATCCTGGTACTTAGAGTGCAGATTTTTCTCAACAACTATTTACGCAATCATTAAATGAAATACAGCCTTGTGTCACTTAGCAATGAGGATACGTTCTGAGAAGTGTGTGGCTAGGTGATTATCTTACTGTGCAAACTTCATAGAGTGATCAATCTATAATGGTGATAGCAATTTTTCAACCCTATTATAATCTTAATGAGCCATTGTTTTACATGCTGTCTCTTATTGATGTAAACGTTGTTATGTGGCACATGATTATGTAAAAGATATTAATCCATTCATTATTTATGCATTCATCCATTTGACCTATGGTAGTGTTCTATTGAAAATGAGTCATCGTGATACAGAAATCCACTGTTAGTTGTTTTTACTTTCTCTTGTTCGTGGGGAAGAGTGGGTATTGATTTTAAAAGTCTAAAGAATGGGGTATTGTGAATAGTGCCGCAATAAACATACGTGTGCATGTGTCTTTATAGCAGCATGATTTATAATCCTTTGGGTATATACCTAGTAATGGGATGGCTGGGTCAAATGGTATTTCTAGTTCTAGATCCCTGAGGAATCGCCACACTGACTTCGACAATGGTTGAACTAGTTTACCGTCCCACCAACAGTATAAAAGTGTTCCTATTTCTCCACATCCTCTCCAGCACCTGTTGTTTCCTGACTTTTTAATGATTGCCAATTCTAACTGGTGTGAGATGGTATCTCATCGTGGTTTTGATTTGCATTTCTCTGATGGCCAGTGATGGTGAGCATTTTTTCATGTGTTTTTTGGCTGCATAAATGTCTTCTTTTGCGAAGTGTCTGTTCATGTCCTTCGCCCACTTTTTGATGGGGTTGTTTGTTTTTTTCTTGTAAATTTGTTTGAGTTCATTGTAGATTCTGGATATTAGCCCTTTGTCAGATGAGTAGGTTGCGAAAATTTTCTCCCATTCTGTAGGTTGCCTGTTCACTGTGATGGTAGTTTCTTTTGCTGTGCAGAAGCTCTTTAGTTGAATTAGATCCCATTTGTCAATTTTGGCTTTTGTTGCCATTGCTTTTGGTGTTTTAGACATGAAGTCCTTGCCCACGCCTGTGTCCTGAATGGTAATGCGTAGGTTTTCTTCTAGGGTTTTTATGGTTTTAGGTCTAACATGTAAGTCTTTAATCCATCTTGAATTAATTTTTGTATAAGGTGTAAGGAAGGGATCCAGTTTCAGCTTTCTCCATATGGCTAGCCAGTTTTCCCAGCACCATTTATTAAATAGGGAATCCTTTCCCCATTGCTTATTTTTCTCAGGTTTGTCAAAGATGAGATAGTTGTAGATATGCGGCGTTATTTCTGAGGGCTCTGTTCTGTCCCATTGATCTATATCTCTGTTTTGGTACCAGTACCGTGCTGTTTTGGTTACTGTAGCCTTGTAGTATAGTTTGAAGTCAGGTAGCGTGATGCCTCCAGCTTTGTTCTTTTGGCTTAGGATTGACTTGGCAACGCGGGCTCTTTTTTGGTTCCATACGAACTTTAAAGTAGTTATTTCCAATTCTGTGAAGAAAGTCATTGGTAGCTTGATGGGGATGGCATTGGATCTATAAATTACCTTGGGCAGCAAAGACTTGGAACCAATCCAAATGTCCAACAGTGATAGACTGGATTAAGAAAATGTGGCACATATACACCATGCAATACTATGCAGCCATAAAAAATGATGAGTTCATGTCCTTTGTAGGGACATGGATGAAATTGGAAATCATCATTCTCAGTAAACTATCGCAAGGACAAAAAACCAAACACCGGATGTTCTCACTCATAGGTGGGAATTGAACAATGAGAACACATGGACACAGGAAGGGGAACATCACACTCTGGGGACTGTTATGGGGTGGGGGGAGGGGGGAGGGATAGCACTCGGAGATATACCTAATGCTAGATGACGAGTTAGTGGGTGCAGCACACCAGCATGGCACATGTATACATATGTAACTAACCTGCACATTGTGCACATGTACCCTAAAACTTAAAAGTATATTAAAAAAAAAGGGGGGTATACACACAATCAGGTGTCAAGCAGTGGCACCTCGTGCAAAATAATAAACTCATCTAAGATCCTAGCAGTTCATTCTGAAAATAAAGCTGGAAATATATCTTGGATATGTAAAATGTGAGTGTAAAAATTAATGAAACTAAGCAATGGGAATATGAGTAGTAAATTATTTGAGAAAATATTATAACATTTACTTTTTTAAATTTCAAAACTATATTTCCTTATTTAAAACTGAAAATTTTTGTGTACATATATGAAACTAATTGTGTCATTTTTCTTTTTGTTACAATATAGAGTGATGTTTCAAAACACAAACATAATAGGTAGAGTCAATTACTTAGGGGAGTCTAAACCTGGAGGTAACATTAGAAATAGAAATAATAAAATGCAGTGTTTTTGGATTTGTCTGTTAAGATTATTTTAATCCAAATCATATTTAATGGTTTACATAGTTGTATATCAAATTTGGTTTTAGAAATAAATTATACAGTAAATTTAAAAATGCAAAAAATGTATATTGTTATACATTCTGTAACCTATGAATCCATATAACTTGGGCAAGAAAATTATATAATTAAAAATAAAACCTTTCTGTTCTCAATTATGTTTTAGGGACAGCTATATAGTTCACACTCACAAAGGAATCATAAAAACTCTATGTATAATCTTGGAAGTAAAAATATCTGTTGTATCATATTTATGAAGTATACAATTGATTAAAAATGATAATGTCTGTCTTCTATCCAACGGCAATAACAGAAGATAATGGCATATAAGTAGGCCTGTCTCCTTTTTTTTGGCATTGATTTATATATCTTTACTAGCTTTGTTGTTTTAACTCCAATAAAAGATTATTTAGTAAGCCAAAGCAAAAAAAAAAAAAAAATCCTGTGAGCAGCCACAAACTGAAAGACTACGATTTTTAGTCAATGTCCTAAGCAACACAGTAATTTTAGGTTAACCAATGTGTCAAAGAGAATGAGGAAAAATTATTACAAAAATGAATAAATAAACTGGTCTAGGTCAAACCGTACTCCTTCTAAAGAGAGTAGTCAACTGATATTAAAGCCTATGACGTAGTATGTGCCATATTGAGTATGCAATATCTAAATATTTCTTTTTTTTCTTTCTCCAGCTACTGCAAACCCTAATTGTTTCCTTATCCGATCACTTTAAAGTCATTCAGCAAATCATAATTATGCCATTGTTAACATCAGAAACTGAAAACCTACTGTCAAAAGTGAGCTAAAATATCATATTTGGATTTATTTATAAATTTATTTTATAAAAAGATTGACTTTCAATTTGAGAATAACATAAAAAATCAATTCATTCCTCTGTGCATCAATATTGTATCATTGGTAGTTTAAACTTTTCATCTAATATTAGATTGCATGCAGGATTTTATATCTAATTACTCTGGCAGATGGCCTTTAGAAAGTTCAAAAATAAAATGCAGCAATTCATATTGGCAGATTTACTATTGAGACCAATGCTTTCTTAACTAACAGGTTTTGTTTAAAATCGTTAGTTTAGGAAATCTGATAAAGAGTTTTGAATATCAGAGCGTTTAAAAGAGATTCTTACTTTACATCTGGCATATTTCTTGTGTTACATATTATAATTTCATTGAACATGGCTGTCTGTAAAACTATGTATATGATCCGGAAGAGACTCAAACTAAATTAAGTTTTAACAGCCATCAATTCATTTTAAAATGACACAGGCATGAAAAATGATCTATCAAGATTTGTAAATCTTATTCTGTTAGCTATTGCTAGAGATAGTCTAAAGGTATTCTACTTGGAATTTGAGATCAAGACAAAGATTTTCTGTTAGTAATAATATTCAGATTATTTTTATTTTGATGTATAAATTTAAAATTCTTAGAATATTTTCAACAATATTTTCCATTTCTAAATTTATTTTATTTCTAAACAAATGTAATTACTTTATTTATTAACTTTTATTTTCAGTTCAGGGGTATATGTGCAGGTTTGTTATATAGGTAAACCTATAGGTAAATAGGTATACAGATTATTTTGTCACCCAGGCATTAAGCCTATGCGCGTTAGTGAAAAATGTTATTGCTTTAAATATCCAAATTATTCAGCTGCATTTGATCTCATTCTTTAGTCCAATGTAAGTAAGAGTAAAACAATGACATTTAAGGCCACCAGGCTATTCTCATTTTTGGAAAAATGCTGGATTACATTACCAGCATATTAAATGAGAATATCAAGGTGTAATATCTCCCTAGAAATTGTCTCACCTTCAATACTATTGACATTTTTGGACCTGATAATTTTGTTGTGGGCTCTAGCCTCATGTTATAGGAGGTTTACCAGTTTTCCTGCCCTAAACTTACCGGATGTGAATAGCACACTCCACTACCTACAGCAGTAAAAACTAAAATTGTCTCTAAACATTGACAAATTGTCCCTGGTAGTGAAAATCACCCCTGGTTGAGACCGTGTTGTTGAAAATAAAACAAAAACTTTCACATCAATAAATATGTTAGGCTGTGTATGTTAAGGATTAACATTAAGACAATATGGAGCAAGCACTACATGAAAGCAGTGACGATTGGGAATTAGTGGCACATTATCCTAATAGTTAATATAGTGACTGTAATATCTAAATATCATCCTATAGAGTTTTTCTTAGATTTTTTCATTAGTATAACAGGATGTTGTGTATGTTACACTGTATATACTGTTATTTTGAGAGACAATTTTGGGAGATTTTGCCAAGGTATTTTCAATTATAGGTCTTTAATACATTCTAAGCAAGTGGGTCTCAAAAATGGGAATTTTACACCCCACATTCTTCTTCCCATCCGGTGGACATTTGTCAATGTGCGCAGATATTTCTGATTAAAAAAAAAAAAAAACTGTGAAAGAGAGGGTGTGCTACTGGCATCTGGTGGTCGAGGCTAGGGATGTTGCTAATCATCTTACAATGTACACGATAGTTCCCCACAATGACTTTGAGAAACCCTGCTCTGACACTACTGCAGGATGAATTTTAAGCACAATTATAAGAGAGGACCTAGATATTGAGTTTTAAAAGGAGAAAATATAAGTACAAAAGAAGAGTGAAGATTGTTACAACAGGGGCAAGTAGAAGTTAGAAGAAAATGTGATAAAGTAAATCTACATTTTAGAATAGTACTGGAAGTTATTATCAGGTGTTACAGACAAGTTTGAGACTTCCGTAAGTGACCTAAAGAAATTATGGACACTGCAAGACTAAATAATCATTCATTTAGGAAGGAGCTTAAATGCACTTTCTCAAGGCCGGGCGAGGTGGCTCACGCCTGTAATCCCAGCACTTTGGGAGGCCAAGGTGGGCAGATCACGAGGTCAGGTGATCGAGACCATCGTGGGTAACACGGTGAAACCCCGTCTCTACTAAAAAATACAAAAAAAAATTAGCCGGGCACGGTGGCGGGCGCCTTAGTCCCATCTACTCGGGAGGCTGAGGCAGGAGAATGGCGTGAACCCGGGAGGCGGAGTTTGCAGTAAGCCGAGATCCCGCCACTGCACTCCAGCCAGGGTGACTGAGTGAGACTCTGTCTCAAAAAAAAAAAAAAAAAACTTTCTCAAGCATGCTAAGTCACAAAATTTGAGTTATCCTGAGCTTTTTTTACTTTAAGCTATCAAGCCATTGTTTGGAATCTTCAGAACCTCTTTAGAGTTTGGGATTTAAGAGTCAGTAGGTAGATAGTGAGCTTAAGATGCCAAACACAACATATAAAGCTATAAAAATCCATATGATCTTGAAAGATTAAATGGAAGCCCAGCACAAAACAATTGCTGAGTATATTATTTACATTATCTGAAAGTATGCCAGACAGACACTTTATATGTTAATAAAGATATGAGAAAGAAAATTCCAAAGAGTTTCTAAAAAGTGAACAACCACAAAATTTCAATAGCTTGCAACAAACATTTTCTTCTCACTCATGTTACCTGATGGAAAATCAAATGGCTGCCTGGAGACAGCATGGAGGGAGAGACTGATTACTGAGGTGCACAAGAAAACTTTTCATAATGATGGTTGTGAATGTAGTGATATTTCCAAAAGTATATACATATATATATA
Source organism: Homo sapiens (assembly GCF_000001405.40). NCBI lineage: Eukaryota > Metazoa > Chordata > Mammalia > Primates > Hominidae > Homo > Homo sapiens. Next base: position 670,294 of record NW_003315917.2, on the reverse strand, counting down.
TATCTATCTCAAATTTGACCACATCACACATTTCAAGTATACTGAATTGACTGTGCATCTCTTATTATACCCCAGGAAAGTTGAAGATATGACAATGAAAAAAAAATTCTTCCACCGACTACCCATCAATTTTCTTCTCATTAGCCTCACAGATTTCACAGTTAATTAAAGGGAAGATGCAAATATGTTCAAACTGTACATATTCTGAGGCCCATACCTTGCCATTAGCTCAATAAAGAGAGACATTGTCCCTGGCATGAAAATGAAAAACTTGCACACTCCCTAGGTGGCTTCTGGACACTCTTAAGACATGAACACACTTTGGGGGCTCACCCTGTCAGGCTTTGCTCTCCGAGCTTAGATGAGAAAAACACAAAAATAAAACCAAAAGGTGACATTTAGGTGCCCATCAAGAAAGATGTGTTGGGAACTGGACAGGTCAGGGCTTTAAGTACTGTATCTTACTGTATGTTTAAGTACTGTATGTTACTGTGGAAACTTACCCATTTTCCCCTCAGAACAACTCTGTCTCAGGAGGTGAGTCTGAGAGCTACTGTTTCTTTGTAAAGGTTTTATCTGATCAGGCCCACGGTCACCACGTCAGCCCCACTGCCCCTAAATAGTTTGAATCTTGATGTTTTGATTTCAAAGACTTCTGATTCTAGCTACATAGCTTTGTCCATTTCCCACCTTACCACTATTTACTTTGAATTTTGTTGCATGCCGAGACCAGTGACTGCCACAAATGTGACTGTTCCTAGAATCTGCTTTCTGCTCTGATCTTTAGTCAGTGCGCAGACTCTAACATAAACTCCTTTCTATCGTATTTTCTTGAGTCCAAGAGCCCATAGATTGTATAATGCACTATTTTATGTCCCGTTAAGCAAGTAATTCGCATTGTGGCTAATTAAACTAAGACATACCACTGAATTGTAAAATGCATTATATTTTCAGGAGATATTAAAATATGAAATGTATAGGTCTTGGAATAGATGAATTGTGACAGTATCTTTGGAAAGCTAATTCAGTTGCAGTATTGCTTAAGATGTCTTTAAGAGCTGACTTCCTTTAGTTGGAATACATATGTAAATTATTTGCAGAGGAGATTTACCTCTTTTATCTCATTCATTTGTTTATTCAGTCATTTATTGATATCAATATGGACTAAGGAAAATTACATTTTTGGGTATAATCCAAATATACTACCAATTAATGTATTGTGTTGCTAAAATTATTCTAGAAATTGAAAGACCTTTCACTTGGCCCCTGTGCTTGTTTGACATATCTCACGAATAGATTTTTGTTAGTATTTTCATAATTTCTGGCACTAGAGGATGTCCCAGGCTCATCTTGTGTATTTTCTTCCCCATTCTTAGAATCAGCCACTTTCAAAGACGCCCTGCTTTCTATATATGAAATCAATATTTAAGTGCTAGCTGTGCCTGTAGCTAAGGGAGTATCAATTTTTTCATAGCTCTCTAAGATGAGAGAGCAAAGAAACAATGTGTATATTCTTACACATATCTTTAAATATTTCTATATGTAAACATCTATATTAGTCCATTATCCCATTGTTATAAAGAACTACCTGATCCTAGGTAATTTATAAAGAAAAGAGCTTTAATTGCCTCACAGTTGCACAGGCTGTACAGGAAGCAAGGATGGGGAAGCCTCAGAAAACGTACAGTCATAGCAGAAGGCAAAGAGGAAGCAGGCACATCTTACATGGCTGGAGAAGGAGGAAGAGAACTAAGGGGGAGATGCTACACACTTTTAAACAACCAGATTGTGTGAGAACTAAGTCATTATCACAAGAACAGCAAGGAGGAAATCTGCCCCCATAATCCAATCCCCTCCCACTAGACCCCTCCTTCAACACTGGCGATTACAATTGGACGAGAGGTTTGAGAGGGGACAAAATGTAAACCATATCACCATCTATGTCTGTATTAAGCTAAACATGGGTTCTTACTGATGTCACTACCTCTAACCTAGTCCCGCAAGCATCAATGCCTTCCTGTATCTCTAAACCCCCACTCCAACAATAAAAATCCTGACTCTTACTTTGTGACATCTATTTAGTTAATTGTTCACTTCCAGTATATGTATATAGCTGTACCAGAATTGATAACCTGCCCTTAGTAGAAGAACATCTTTATCAACTAAATTAAGTGCCTTCGTACAAGTTTCTTTTGCCTTTCATCTTAAGAGACTGCACTCATTTTCAATATCACTTTGACTAGCACCCTTTCCCTTAAGTCCCTCACTGAAGTTATTTTGTATGGTTCATAATAGAGCTAGATAAATTTGTAACAGTCTGCATTCCATCCTGAGATTCTACAACCTTTTAATTAATTTTTAATTAAAAATATAACTTTTATTTTGGTAAATATTAGCACTTCTGTGCCACACTACTATATATAAATATCAAAAAAAGGTCCAGAAAGCTATAGAAAATTTGAGTAAAGTGCTGAATGTTGAACCTAACAATAACTGGGCTAAAGTAAGTACAGAAGGCAATTTTTTATTTATGTAAATTTATGGGATACAAATATAATCTTATTACCTCCATAAAGTACATAGTGTTGAAGTAAGGGTTTTAGAATATACATCACCTGAAAAATGTACATTGTACTCATTACATAATTTCTCATCATCCCCTCCTCCCACCCTCCTGAAATTTCCAAGTCTCTGTTGTCTATCATTCCACATTCTATGTCCATGTGTATACATTATTTAGCTTCCAGTTATAAGTGAGAACATGCAGTATTTGTCTTTCTGTGTCTGATTTGTTTCACTTAAAATAATGACCAGTTACATCCATGTTGTTACAAAAGACATGATTTTATTCTTTTGTATAGCTGAATAGTATTCTATAGCGCATATGTGCCAGATTTATTAATGTAATCATCCACTGAGGGACACATTGCTATTGTGAATAGTGCTGTGATAAACATATGGGTGCAGATACCTTTTTCATACAATTATCTGTTCTCCTTTGGGTAGATCTCCAGTAGTGGGATTGTTGGGTGAAATTGCGGTTTTATTAAGAATGTATATTCTGTAGTTGCTGGGTAGTATTTTCTGTAAATGTCAGTTAGGTCTATTTCATCTAAGGTTGAATTTAAGTCTTAGGTTTATTTGTTTTCTGTCTTGATGATAACATTTAATGCTGTGAGTGAGATGGTAAAGTCCCCCAGTATTATCGTATTGCTGTCTATTCCTTTTTTATGTCTAGTAATATTTATTTGATGAATCTTGGTGGTCTAGTGTTGGATGCATATGTGTTTAGAATTGTTATATCCTCTTGCTGAATTGATCCCTTTATCATTATGTAATGACTTCCTTTGTCATTGTTATACTGTTTTAGATTTAAGTTCTGTTTTACTTGATATAAGTATAGCTATTCCTGCTTGCTTTTAGTCTCCGTTACATGGAGTATCTTTTTTCACCCATTTACTTTAAATCTGTATGTGTCTTTACTTTTCAGTCTGTATGTGTCTATATGTTTCTTGTAAGCATAATATTTTTGGATCATTTTTTAGTTCGTTCCATCAATCTACCTTTCTTTTTTTTTTTTTTTTACTTTTAGATGGAGTTTCACTCTGTCATCCAGAGTGGAGTGCAGTGGCGCAATCTTGGCTCACTGCAAACTCCGTCTTGCAGGTTCAAGCGATTCTCCTGCTTCAGCCTCCCAAGTAGATGGGATTACAGGTGCCGGCCACCACGCCTGGCTAATTTTTGTATTTTTAATGGAGATAGGGTTTCACTATGTTGGCCAGCCTGGCCTCGAACTCCTGACCTCGTGATCCACCCACCTCGGCCTCCCAAAGTGCTGGGATTACAGGTGTGAGCAACTGCACCTGGCCCAATATCTATCAATCTATATATTTTAAGTGGAATGTTTAATTCATTTACATTCAAGGTTAATGTTAATACATGAGTTTTTCTTTCTGCCATATTGCTGTTTGTGTTCTACTTGTTTTATAAGTTCCTTGGGGTTATTTTGTTGTTGTTTTTTGTTTTTCTTTCTGTGTGTCTCTTTGTCTTTGTGGTTTGGTGGAAATCTGTTGTGTTGCTATTTGATTGCTCGTCCTACTTTGTGTGACTGTTTTACAAGACCTATGAGTTTGCTACTTTCATGTGTTTTGATGATGATGATGAATGTTGACCTTTCATTTTTGTGTTTGGGACACCTTTGAGTATTTCTCATAGGACTCGTTTGGTGGTGACGAATTCCCTCAGTGTGTGCTTGTCTGGAAAATACTTTGAATCATTTCAAGAAAATTAGCAGTGAGTTATGTCAATCAAGCCATTGGTTTGTATTTGGTGGCACATTTACTCTGTATTATTTCACACTAGAACCATCTGAGTTAAGTTTTATTATTTGCTATATGTTGCAGATGAAGAAACTGAAGCTGAGAGAGGTTTAGTGAATGACTGAAAAGGTTGTCAGGCTGCAGGGAAAAAAACAAAACAAAACTGTACGACTAGCCTGCAATGCTTCCCAAAGTATGTAGCTTATTATTATTGGTCACTTTTTGAGTACAAAATGCTGTGCTATGTAACAAAATAATACAATGTACATATGTATAAAAGTTAACATATACATATCAATTAACATAAGCATAACTGTAATCACATATACTGATAAATAAAAATATAAAGTAATATATGGTAATGACCCAACCATTTGCCTAAGTTTCATGTATTACAGAAGTTTTGAGGAGGGACTTCAGCTGTATGCAAATCAGCAATTCGGGTTGTACAGTTGATTACCCATTAGTTCAGAATTTTAATAATTTAAAATGTATTTATTAAGAACCTAACAATTGGAAGACCTTACAATAGGTGGGAAAATTCGACAGATGAATAATGCTTAGGAGATATCAGCATGTTTTGGAAGGATATTCCCATGAAGAGAAAAAGTATCGTGGGAAGTGTGGGAAGTGTTATGGTGCGAGAGTAATACAGGTTCCAGCATGTGTTTACATTATTTTGTTGGAGGTGTTGGGGAACCTTTCATGGAAGGTGTGTGGTAGACTGTTGGACAGGTTTCCTCAACTTTCGTTCCACTCTTTGAAGAGGTTAGAAAATTAAAACAAAACAAGCAATGCAGCTTCCCTTGAGCTAGCTTTATGAATGCAGCTTAGACCACTTACCGATTGTTTGCATATGAATCAGACTTAGAAAAATGGAAGAGATCAAAGCCTGTCTTGCTATTGTTGATTCTGGCAAGTGAAATCATGGGGACAATAGTTCAGAAGTAGTGGAAGTGGTAGGATTCAATATCCTTGTGCCTAATCCCCAGTTTCATGGGCATAAGAGGCTTAAAGTTTTAATAGTAGGAGCATCTTTTTGACCCAGGATTGCAGAAATGATTGCGTGCCTTTGAATTCAAGAACTCAAAACCTTCCTCCATGCCACAGCTACTTTAGTTATTTTAGCCCTTCCTATTGTATATGTATGAAATGCACTTTCTGCTTAAGATACCTATTGCGGTTTTTATTTCCTTATTAAAACCTTGGAAAAATATAGCACTTAAATTATGTTTTGTAGAAATTCACTAAGCAAATAAAGCTAAAGGGGGAGAGAGTTAACCTTCTCTGCCCCCTTTTTATCAGAAGTTAGTTGTAGAAGAAATACACAATTTTTGCGCAATGTTAGCACCATCTAAGTTCTGTAGGTCTGGAACACAGACTGGTTAAATGAGCATTTCAGGAGCGCTATAGTTGCAAAGTTAAGCAGTCACCACAATTTTATGTGTCATACAAAGATTTTTAACTTTATGTTTAAGCAACGAGCCTAGAAGCAAATGGTATTTCCATCAAGAATTGTCTCATATAAAGTAGAGCGTTTTGGAAAATGGAGTTATTAATAGATAAAAACATGTTTATACAGTTGGTTTCTAAGTATGACAAACCTATTTCTTGGTAAATTGCAAGTCCATTCCACCTGTGTTTGTAGGCTCATTTGCCTAAAAGTCTTGGGATTTTTTTCTGATGATCTATTAAATTTTCTTTCTGATTATCTTTTCTAATGCTGTAATAGCATTTCTAACACTGTAATGAAAGAGAACAAAAGTACACGCTTGCTCATCATTTACTAATTCTAAAAATATATATTGAATACATCTATGTAGCAGGTACTGTGGTAGGTGTGGAAGATAGTTGAGACAGGTAACAAGCCCAACATTACGGAGCTTAGCATCACCACCTAGAAGAGTTTTTAAAAAACATAGATAAGTGAATCATGATTATAAAGACAAAGAGATTCTTGCCATATAATTACATATAAGCAAATTTAGGATGTGATGAAAGATTTTGATATTGGTCTTCTGATTTGGCTGTAGGATGAAGTGTTTATAAGTCATCCCAAGGAAGAAACAATTCAGATGAGAACTATTCAATGGATTTGCAATAACAATCCAAAGATGGAAGAAGACACTTCTAGGTAGACAAAATTGCAAGTATAGAGAATGTAAATTAAGAGAGAGCTTAGCTTTCAGATGAATTAAAAGATTGTGGTGATCAGAATGTAGAGATTGACGAGAGACAAATGAAATAAAACTAGAAGGACAAGTAGAGATTTGTGGGTCAAGTTTTAAAATTTTATTATAAATGCACTGATACTGTTCTGAACATTTTCTTACACATGGAAATTTAATGATTATGGCTATTGAAAAATGTAACTCTTCATTTATATTTTTCCGAGAATGAAATCGGTGGAATTGCTGGGGGGTGAAAATGTCCAATGCGAAACAGGAGGCTAATTTAAGAAGGGATACTGCAAAATTGGTCATGATGGCTCAAACTGCTGTTCATAATAGAGAGAAGAAAATGGATAGAGTTACATATGGATGAGAGTAAATTGACAAGGCTAAATGCTAAAACGTGGGTAGTGACAGAAAGTAGGTGTCAAAATAGACTTCCAGGAAAAGAAAAAATGGGTCTACAGAAGAGCCAAATGCTGATGTGGGTTACATGATCCTGAGCAGATGCAGTTGTAATTGGTTAAGTAAAGTAAGTTCTTAAGATAGATTTGGCCTGGCGCTATACATTCTAGAGCCCTTGAATATAAGTGGGATATAAAACCATGGGAATGACTGTATTTGTCTAAGGAGAGAATTTGGCAGAAGAAAAGGAGACATAAGATGAAATGCAGAGGAAATTCAAATTTAATTGGCAGGTGTAGGAAGACAAGGAGATGACAAAAGGAACTGGAAATGAGTAATCAGAGACAGAAAAGTAAAAGTAAGAGTAGAATGTCATGGAAGGCAAATAATTGGAATGTTTCAAGATCAGGGAAATGGGCAATAAAGAGAAGAAAAAAATAGTGACCAGAGGGTATAGTAATGTGTAGAAATTCATCCTGTGTTAGGTTTGATTGCTTAGACGTTTTATATAAAAATCTTTCCCAGAGAGTAATAAAACAGAAGTGAGGTTAGAGAAAGAACATACGATTTAGCCAAAAGGTGGGAAAAGTTAGGAAATGAAGAATAAATATGTTTAAAGATAATGTTATGGCTACTCAATGTACAACCTCTTTTCTTTCATTATTTTTAATTGTCATATTTAAAAATAGTAATTACCACTTTTAAAAATTGTCTTATTATTTGTTACATAAGAAAATGCATTAATTCAAGCCACATAGTATCATTTATATTATGACTGTCGAAACATTACTAGAATTACTAGAACTATTAACCTAATGGCCTGAAAATTTCAACTCACTTCCCTAGCTGTCCTGATGATCATTAGTGAAAGGAAAGACTCCATTAGATAATGCTTACTTATAGAGAACTGGTTATATCTGTCTCATTTCCATACATATATCTGTATAAATTAATTTGATTAATAAAACAAACACAAGGCACAAACAACAAAACACAATTTATAAATGTCATTGAAAAATGCATGCCTGTACAATTTGGGTATTTGTAATTGTAAATTGATATACTTCATTTTTTATCCAGGAGTTACTTAGATTGAAACTTTACCTAATGTATGATAAAATAATACGTGATTAAATTTAAAAACATGATGAATTTATTTAAAATTGGCTTCAATAATGTCAGAAAGTAATAAAATAAAATGATTCCTTCAAAGACTGCACCTGTTTATTGCCTGAGATTATCTCTCTTGGCCACAAATCAATATTACTTTCTTTCATTCATCAGTGATAAAGCTTTTCAATAATTCTAATTTTAAAGGATGATTACAGCAAGTATATAGTCATTGATTGCTTAAAGGTTGCAGCTAAAATGAACACAATGGTCATTTTATTTTTAATAAATGAGCCCTTTTGAAAAGTCAAGCATTTTTCCTCTCACAAAACTTTGTGTAATAAGATTATAGATTTGATCATGTATGAGTTTGCACTGTGTGTGTGTATATATGTGTGTGTGATTTCAGCGATAAAGTTCACTGTTCCACAGCTGGCAATTTCTTCTGCTTAATTGAAAATTCCGTTTTAAAATATTTCTTTAAAGTTCTAAAATGGGTTTAAATGGGTTCATGAACTGTAATACTATTAAAAATATATATATCTACATATTTGTTGATTCTTCTCAGTTTAAGAAGTGGAGCTTCATACTCCTCCCCTTGAAGGCAGGCTAAGCTGAGTGACTCCCATCTAAGAAATAAAACACCGCAGGATTGGAATGTTACCTTCTGAGACAAGGTCACAAAGGCTAGGGTTTTAATTTTGAGTGAACTAATTTGCTCCTTACTGGTGTTTCTCTCTCTTTCTCTCCTTCAACTCTTTACGAGCCCAGCCACCATGCAAATAATTCCAAACTATCTTTTCTAGAAAGCTCACATGAAGAACCGAGGCATCCTATCTGATATCCAGCCAAATGATTAAACATTCTAGAAGCAGACTATGATGCACTGAATTTGTGAAATCCTAACCCCCAGTGTAATGATAGTAGGAGGTGGAGCTTTTGGTAGATGATAGTCTGTCTTCATGTTGGGGATTAGTGCCTTGATTATTATTTTTTATTTTTATTTTTATTTATTTATTTATTTATTTTTTGAGACAGAGTTTTGCTCTGTTACCCAGGCTGGAGTGCAGTGGTGCCATGTCAGCTCACTGCAGCGTCTGCCTCCTGGGTTCAAGTGTTTCTTCTGCCTCAGCCTCCTGAGTAGCTGAGTAGCTGAGACTACAGGTACGCACCACCACACCTGGCTAATTTTTGTATTTTTAGTAGAGACGGGGTTTCACCATACTGGCCAGGCTGGTCTGGAACTCCTGACCTCGTGATCTGCCTGCCTCAGCCTCCCAAAGTACTGGGATTACAGATGTGAGCCACCGTGCCCAGCCGGGGATTAGTGCCCTTGTAAAAGAGACCCCAAAAAGCGTCCTTGCCCCTTCTGCCATGTGAGCTAGAGGACAGTAATCTATGAACTAAAAAATGGGCTCTGACCAGACACCAAATCTGCAAGCACCTTGATTTTGCACCATCCAGCCTCCGGTACCATTAGAAACGTTTCTGTTGTTTATAAGCTACCCTGTCTATGGTATTCTGTAGCGACAGTGCAAACAAACTAAGACACGGACCTTCCAACACAAGTTAAAGGCTTCAGGGGATGCTGCCTGGGTCAACAACATGACAGCAACCTTTACTCATGAGAGACTTCGAGTCAGAACCACCTACCCAAATCCATCATTTCCCTGACTTCTATAAATTGTGTCATACATATTTGTTATTTTAAGCCATTAAGTTTTAGGGTAATTTTTAAATGGAAAAATACATGATCATAGGTAAACTATAATTAATAGAAAAATCTAATGCCAATAATATTTACCATTGATTGACCGTCAAAACTCCATTAATTATTTGCTTTCCATTTATATTTATTTTTGGATTTCTTTTTTAAGAGAATGGCACCTGTGACAGCATACTGTTAATATTACCCTTTTATCGTACTTTACCATGCCATCTCTGAAGAATATTACAGACCATTTTGGAGCATGGTGAATAAGAAATTTTCACCTTAGGAGTTCACTTGAATAGTCATTTTTATATTTGTGACTGCAAGTCACTTTTAGGGGCTGTACTTCCTTAGTACTGGTAGCATTATTATCCAATGGACTTTTTTAGCTTTCATTAGGTTTTCTTTTGTTTTTGTTCTTTAAAGAACGTTTTACTTGTCTTAGTATTTCATTTTTTAATCTATACTATGAGGCAGTAAGAGTCTTCTGTTTTTCCAAAGTGGAGACTGCTTTATATTTATTTCGTATTGTCTACAGCTGTAGTGTTCAATACATTAGCCACTAGCCACATGTGGTTATTTAAATAAGATGAAATAAAAATTGGCCGGGCGTGGTGGCTCACGCCGGTAATCCCAGCACTTTGGGAGGCCGAGGCGGGCAGATCATTAGGTCAGGAGATCGAGACCATCCTTACTAAGACGGTGAACCCCCATCTCTATTAAAAATACAAAAAATTAGCCGGGCGTGGTGGCGGGCGCCTGCAGTCCCAGCTACTCAGGAGGCTGAGGCAGGAGAATGGCGTGAACCTGGGAGGCAGAGTTTGCAGTGAGCCGAGATGGCGCCACTGCACTCCAGCCTGGGGGACAGAGCGAGACTCCATCTCAAAAAAAAAAAAGAAAATTAAAAATTAAGTTCTTTAGTTGCACTAGCCATATTTCAAATACTTGATGGATACATGTGGCTAGTGGCTAACATAAGGGATAGCACAGATATAAAACATTTCCTCGTCATATAAAGTTCTATTGGATAGTGCTGGTCTGTAGCTTATAGGATGGTATCTTAGTCTGCTTCAGCTGCTAAAACAGAATACCATAAATTAGGTAGCTTAAACAGTAGATATTTTGACCAGGCGTGGTGGCTTATGCCTGTATTCCTAACACTTTGGGAGGCCGAGGCAGGTGGATAACTTGAGCTCAGGAGTTTGAGACTAGCCTGGGCAGCATGGCAAAACCTTGTCTCTACGAAAATCAGCTGGGCATGGTGGTGCACGCCTGTAGTCTGAGCTACTTGGGAGGCTGAGGTGGGAGAATTGCTTGAACCTGGGAGGCGGAGGTTGCAGTGAGCCATGATCGCACCACTGTACTCCAGCCTGGATGACAGAATGAGACTCTGTCTCAAAAAAAACAAAAACAAACAAACAAAAAAACAGATATTTCTCACAGTTCTGGAGACTGGAAGTGCAAGATCAAAGTGTTGGCAAATTGTGTTTCTTAAAGAGGGCCTGCTTCCTAGATTGGAAATGGCCATCTTCTCTCGGTATCCTCACATGGTAGGGAGAAAAGCAGCTCTAGTGTCTCTTCTTATAAAGGAAGTAATGCCACCATAGGGGCTCTATTCTCATGACCTCATCTAAACCTAATTCTCTCCTAAAGGCCACGCCTCCCAGTATCCTCACCTTGGGGGTTAGGGCTTTATCATATGAATTTTTTTTTTTTTTTTTTTTTTTTTTTTTTGAGACAGAGTCTCGCTCTGTCTGTCACCCAGGCTGGAGTGCAGTGGCACAATCTCGGCTCTCTACAAGCTCCGCCTCCTGGGTTCACGCCGTTCTCCTGCGTCAGCCTCCTCAGTAGCTGGGACTAAGGCGCCCGCCACTGCGCCCGGCTAATTTTTTGTATTTTCAGTAGAGACGGGGTTTTACCATGTTAGCCAGGATGATCTCGATCTCCTGACCTCATGATCCACCCGCCTCGGCCTCCCAAAGTGCTGGGATTACAGGCATGAGCCACCGCGCCCGGCCTATCGTATGAATTTTGAGGGAACACAAACATGCAGTCTGTAGCAAATGGTAATAGGCTGACATATTACACTTGTTGATGTAAATCTGATAGGTTTCTTTCTCTCCAAGGACAGCTTTTTAAATATTTAACAGTATCAATAATTTTTCAGGTTCTGTGAGAATTTTATAATTTATAATTTGCAGACTTAACGTATAATCTATTTTGTCCTAACAATTACAAATATATTTTTTATTTCAGATTGTATATATTCCTACCAGATGGAGATAATTACAGCTTTAAAAATTTTTATTTTTTCATTTTATTTCAGACATTGACATTAAATTTTTATGGACACATAATAACTGTACATATATATGGGGTAGAATGTGATGTTTTAATACATGTACTCAATGTGTAATGATCAAATCAGGGTAATTTGCATAATGATTTTTCTGTAGGGAGAAAATTCAAAATCTACTCTTCTGGCTATTTTCAAATATATAATATGTTATTGTTAACTATACTCATCCTACTATGCAATAGGACACCAGAACTTATTCCTGGGTTCTACATCCGTTAAGGCAACCAAGGATTGGAAATATTGGAAAAAAAAATTGCGTCTGTACTGAACATGTACAGACTTTTTTCTTGTCCTTATTCCTTACACAATATAGTACAATAACTATTTGCATGACATTTACATCGGATATTATGAGTGATCTAGAGTTGATATGAAGTATATGGGAGGATGTGCAAAGGTGATGTGCAAATACTATGTCATTTTATATCAGGGACTTGAGTATCCTTTGTTACCCTCAGGAGATCCTGAAACCAGTCCCCCATGGATACTGAGGGCTGACTGTATAGTCCTATCCTCACGGAACTTTCATTCTAATGGGGGAAGACTGACTATAAACAAAATATATGTAATAGGTGGTGGTAAGTACCGTGGAGAAGTAACAAATGGGGCAAAGTGAGTTATACAGCTCCATTCTTAGAAACCTTGGAGTACTTTTCTTAGTTTATACTCGTGGTGGTTTCCTTTTGTCTCCTTTATTACATGGGACTCTGACATGTGCCCATAGCTAGGGTGACAGTAGGATCTACCCGATAGTAGGGTGGCAGTAGGATCTACCCAAAAAGCGTCCTGCTGATACAGGACCAAAGCATCCTGTTGTTCTCGAGCCTATAAAAAGAGCTAATGGTCTTGCTTCTCTTAACTGTGGCCTCCTACACTGTGTTTTGGATGATTGGTGATGTCTTGGATATTCTGTTTCTTTGGAACTTTGAATATACAACACTTTACTAGGGAATTAGCAATGGAAGCAGAGCAAAGATGTACAGAGGAAACAATGCGTAACTCTGATGGAATTGAAGTCATGAGGCAGCAGAGAGCTTAAATTACAGCTTTAAAAATTTTTATTTTTTAGAGGGAATTTACTTGGGAGTAACAGCAGTAATAGTTAACGGAGCCAGAATGCTTGAGTCATATAATTGCAAAGCAGAGTTGGGAGCAACAGATGCTAAAGAGTAGTTGCTGTAGTTCCTCTTTGGGTCGTAGGAGCAGTTGTCATATTACTATATAGCTACTGCATGAAGAAGAGTTCTTAGTGAGGCCTGGGTGAACAGCTCTTCTTAGTATTCTGTGTGACCCCATTTGACCTTTTAACAAATCCCTAAGTAAATAAATAGCCCCTCAGGAAAACTAAGTTTTTCTCTGCTGTTTTTTTGCTTGAGAGAGCTATAACTGTAATAGACTTATATTTCTGAACATTTTAGTGCTTGCCAATATTTGGTAATATTTATGTTTCCTATATTTGTAATGAACATTCTTCTTCCGGTACATTTTTTGTTAAATTATTGTTTGATGGATAAAAGTTCACCTTTTATTGTATAAAATTGACTGAGATTAATTTATACACATTGACAATGGGTAAATAGAATTTTTCAGATTATTAAAAGCTGAAGGATGCCCACGTAAGCAAAAAAAAAAAAAGAAAAAACCAACAAAAATAAACCCAAACCCCTCAAACAATTTCGAACACGAAACATTCTTCTGATGCCGGCATCCCTGCTTGCAGGTGTGAAGGGGGCAGGAATCAGCGAGGTGTCCTGGGCTGAGTCCCCGGAGTGGGAAGAGGTGGCAGGAAGGGGATCTGAGGAGGAGAACAGGGGTCCTGGTGGTCTGTGCTTCTTCCCAGACACGGGAGCTGTAGAGGAGACCTCTGCAGCAGATGCTAGGGGGGCCAGTAGGCCCAGGCAGTCTTGGGACTTGGGTCTGTCCTGCTGTGCATCCATAGTGGGTGCTTTAGAAACGGGAGGCCCACCCGAAGCCCCTGTTGCAAGTGAGGACAAAGTGTGGGAAGGCCGTGAGGGTCTGCAGTCCGAGATGGCCTTGTCCTCAACGTGCAGTGCACTGTTGATGCGGGGCCTAGAGGCCTGGGATCTGGGGGAGCCACCCCTGGGGGCGAGTGTCTGCCCTGGTGCTGTACCTGCCTTGTTTTCACAGCGGTGACCCGAAGAGACAGCCTGAGGTCCGTCCTCACTCACTGTGTTTGAGGAACTGTGGGCCAGCTGGCAGTGGGATGAGGCTGGCCCCCTCCTCCGCTTTACTTCCTGGAGGCCTTCCATAGAGCTGTGGGAGCTGGAGCTGGCATTTCGTTTGAGGCAGGATCTGGTCCGGGAGGTCTGGGATCTCTGGTTATATCTCACTTCTGACCTCTGGGCACGTGCTGCAGCTGTGGCTGAGGCCAAGAAATGTGAGGGGCCTCCATCCACTGCATTGAGTAGCGACCCCGACGTGGGGTTCAATGTGGAGGGGGGAAGGGCTGCTGCGGCAGCTGCAGGAGCCGAGGTGCCAGGCCTTGTTCTTCTCATGCCGGCATCCCTGCTTGCAGCTGTGAAGGTGGCAGGAATCAGCGAGGTGACCTGGGCTGAGTCCCGGGAGTGGGAAGAGGTGGCAGGAAGGGGATCTGAGGAGGAGAACAGGGGTCCTGGTGGTCTGTGCTTCTTCCCAGACACGGGAGCTGTAGAGGGGACCTCTGCAGCAGATGCTAGGGGGGCCACTAGGCCCAGGCAGTCTTGGGACTTGGGTCTGTCCTGCTGTGCGTCCATAGTGGGTGCTTTAGAAACGGGAGGCCCACCCGAAGCCCCTGTTGCAAGTGAGGACAAAGTGTGGGAAGGCCGTGAGGGTCTGCAGTCCGAGATGGCCTTGTCCTCAACGTACAGTGCACTGTTGATGTGGGGCCTAGAGGCCTGGGATCTGGGGGAGCCTCCCCTGGGGGCGAGTGTCTGCCCTGGTGCTGTACCTGCCTTGTTTTCACAGCGGTGACCCGAAGAGACAGCCTGAGGTCCGTCCTCACTCACTGTGTTTGAGGAACTGTGGGCCAGCTGGCAGTGGGATGAGGCTGGCCCCCTCCTCCGCTTTAGTTCCTGGAGGCCTTCCGTAGAGCTGTGGGAGCTGGAGCTGGAGCTGGCATTTCGTTTGAGGCAGGATCTGGTCCGGGAGGTCTGGGATCTCTGGTTATATCTCACTTCTGACCTCTGGGCACGTGCTGCAGCTGTGGCTGAGGCCAAGAAATGTGAGGGGCCTCCATCCACTGCATTGAGTAGTGACCCCGACGTGTTGTTCAATGTGGAGGGGGGAGGGGCTGCTGTGGCAGCTGCAGGAGCCGACCTTGTTCTTCTCATGCCGGCATCCCTGCTTGCAGCTGTGAAGGTGGCAGGAATCAGCGAGGTGACCTGTGCTGTGTCCCGGGAGTGGTAAGAGGTGGCAGGAAGGGGATCTGAGGAGGAGAACAGGGGTCCTGGTGGTCTGTGCTTCTTCCCAGACACGGGAGCTGTAGAGGGGACCTCTGCAGCAGATGCTAGGGGGGCCAGTAGGCCCAGGGAGTCTTGGGACTTGGGTCTGTCCTGCTGTGCATCCATAGTGGGTGCTTTAGAAACGGGAGGCCCACCCGAAGCCCCTGTTGCAAGTGAGGACAAAGTGTGGGAAGGCCGTGAGGGTCTGCAGTCCGAGATGGCCTTGTCCTCAACGTGCAGTGCAGTGTTGATGTGGGGCCTAGAGGCCTGGGATCTGGGGGAGCCACCCCTGGGGGCAAGTGTCTGCCCTGGTGCTGTACCTGCCTTGTTTTCACAGCGGTGACCCGAAGAGACAGCCTGAGGTCCGTCCTCACTCACTGTGTTTGAGGAACTGTGGGCCAGCTGGCAGTGGGATGAGGCTGGCCCCCTCCTCCGCTTTACTTCCTGGAGGCCTTCCGTAGAGCTGTGGGAGCTGGAGCTGGCATTTCGTTTGAGGCAGGATCTGGTCCGGGAGGTCTGGGATCTCTGGTTATATCTCACTTCTGACCTCTGGGCACGTGCTGCAGCTGTGGCTGAGGCCAAGAAATGTGAGGGGCCTCCATCCACTGCATTGAGTAGCGACCCCGACGTGGGGTTCAATGTGGAGGGGGGAGGGGCTGCTGCGGCAGCTGCAGGAGGCGACCTTGTTCTTCTCATGCCGGCATCCCTGCTTGCAGCTGTGAAGGGGGCAGGAATCATCGAGGTGACCTGGGCTGAGTCCCGGGAGTGGGAAGAGGTGGCAGGAAGGGGATCTGAGGAGGAGAACAGGGGTCCTGGTGGTCTGTGCTTCTTCCCAGACACGGGAGCTGTAGCGGGGACCTCTGCAGCAGATGCTAGGGGGGCCACTAGGCCCAGGCAGTCTTGGGACTTGGGTCTGTCCTGCTGTGCATCCATAGTGGGTGCTTTAGAAACGGGAGGCCCACCCGAAGCCCCTGTTGCAAGTGAGGACAAAGTGTGGGAAGGCCGTGAGGGTCTGCAGTCCGGGATGGCCTTGTCCTCAACGTGCAGTGCACTGTTGATGCGCTGGAATGCCGTCTCTTTTTCCAGGTGCAGGTCTTCAGCCGTGACCCGGTACCCCAGCTCTAAGGGAGGTGGCAGCATCAAAGGCTCCCCTCGCCTGCGTGGCAGCAGGGGAATCTTGCGTCTACGGGGCCTAGAGTCCTGGGATCTGGGGGAGCCACCCGTTGGGGCGATTGTCTGCCCTGGTGCTGTATCTGCCCCCTTTTCACACCGTGTGTGACCCGAAGAGACAGCCTGAGGCCTGTCCTCACTCACTGTCTTTGAGTAACTGAGGGTCAGCTGGCAGCGGGATGAGGCTGGCCCCCTCCTCTGCTTTAGCCCCGGCAAGCCTCCCGTGGAGCTGTAGGAGCTGGAGATGGCATTTCGTTTGGTGCTCGAGCTCGTCCAGGATGTCTGGGATGTGTGGTTATATCTGATTTCTGAGCTCTGGGCGTGGAGGTCTGTCTGCAGAGGCCCGGGCCTGGGCACAAAGGGAGAGGGGCCTCCATTGTCCCGCAGGGGCCAAAATGCAGACCGTGCATCCCCGGTGACCTCGGGGACCGTTCTCTGATCATCAGGATTTTCTTGGACTCTGGGGTCCTTGTGCTGCTCAGGCATCCCTGCCCCGCTCTCCTTGAGGGCCCTCAACACTATCTTCCCTGGACACAAGTCTGGGGACAGCCGGGTGTTGTGGACCCCAAAGGGGTGACTACCTGCTCCTGGGCCCCACAGAGTCCTTGTGCTCAGTGTAGTGGCTGAGCTGGGGGATGCCCTGGAACTCGGAGCACACAGCACTGGCTTACTGTGGTACCTGTGCAGTGAAATTGAAGACAGAATCACCAGGATGGAACACAGGTCTTGCAGGATCACTTGAAACCTTCTTAGAGTTGTCTTGACACCAGTGATGTCGAGTGTGCGGGTGTTTGTAGGATGGCCTGCCACTCAGTCCAGGGGCAGGAGCAACGGGGAGATCCCACAAGCAAAGTGAACTGGGGGATGGGCTGAAGGGGCTCCAGGCAACTGAGCCCTACTCGCAGGTCCTCGGCCTTGGCCCAAACAGGAATGAGGGGCACAGAGTGCCCGGGTAACCGCTCCTGGGAGCAGTGGGGAACTGTCGGATACTTGAACTCTCAAGAGCTGGGCTCTGAGCGTCCTCGTCCAGCTGCCAACTTGGCCAAAGGCTAAGCCAGCAGATTGTTCTGTTGCCGGGCAACGCGACTTCTAAACCTGAGGGAGTGGGCATGTGAGCACATAATGGCACCAGTGACAGAGCGACCATAATGGATGAATAAGCGCAGCCAGGTACCCGCGCAAGGCACCTGCTGGCAATGGCAGGAGGCGGACGTGGGGGGTCGTGCAGTAGGTACTGGAGGGAGAGACGTGGGCACAAAGGTCGCGGGAGGAACAGGTGCCCACAATGGCTGCATATTTGCCCGTGGATCACTGAAGATTCCTGCTCTCCTGCTGAGGTGGAGACTGCAGTGAGCTGAGATCGCACCATTGCACTCCAGCCTGGGCAACGAGTGCAAAACTCAGTCTCCAGATAAAAAAAAGAAAAAGAAAAAAAAGAGGCCGGGTGTGGTGGCTTATGCCTATGATCCTAGCACTTTGGGAGGTCGGGGTGGACGGATCACGAGATCAGGAGTTGGAGGCCAGCCTGGCCAACATAGTGAAAGCCCGTCTCTAGTAAAAATACAAAATTTAGTCAGACATGGTGGGCAGGAGAGAGCATGTGCAGGGGAACATCCATTTATAAAACCATCAGACCTCATGAGACTTATTCACTACCATGAGAACAGCATGGGGGAAACTGCCTCCATGATTCAGTTATCTCCACCTGGCCCCACCCTTGACACATGGGAATTGTTACAATTCAAGATGAGATTTGGGTGCGGACAGAGCCAAACCATATAATTCTTCCCCGGCCCCTCCCAAATCTCATGTCCTCATATTTCAAAAGCAATCATGCCTTCCCCTAAGTCCCCCAAACTCTTATTTCAGCATTAACTCAAAATTCCATAGTCCAAAGTCTCATCTGAGACAAGGCAAGTCCCTTCCACCTATGAGCCTGTAAAATCAAAAGCAAGTTAGTTATTTTCTAGATACACAGGGATACAGGCATTGGGTAAATACACTCGTTTCAAATGGGAGAAATTGGCCAAAGCGAAAGAGCTACAGGCCCCATGCAAGTCCAAAACCCAGCAGGCAAATCTTAAAGCTCCAAAATGACCTCCTTTGACTCCATGTGTCACATCTAGGTGATGCAAGAAGTGGGTTCCCAGGGTCTTGGGCAGCCCCGCCCCTGTGGCTTTGCAGGGTACAGCCCCCCTTCTGGCTGCATTGAGTGTCTGCAGCTTTTCCAGGCACACAGTGCAAGCTGTCAGTGGATCTACCATTCTGGGGTCTGGAGGATGGTGGCCCTTTTCTCACAGCTCTGCTTGGCAGTACCCCAGTGGGGACTCTGTGTGGGAGCTCCAACCCCATATTTCCCTTTGACACTGTCCTAGCAGAGGTTATCCATGAGGGCCCCCCCCTCCCCTCCCCCCCACAGCAAACTTTTGCCTGGATTTCCAGGCATTTTCATACATCTTCTGAAATGTAGGCGGAGGTTCATGAACGTTAATTCTTGACTTTGGTGCATCTGCAGGCTTAACACCACCTAGAACCTGAAAGGCTTGGAACTTGCACCCTCTGAAGCCATGGCCTGAGGTGTACCTTGGCCCCTTTTACCTATGGCAGGAGCAGCTGGGATGCAGGGCCCCAAGTTCCTAGGCTGCACACAGCAGGGGGTTCTGGACCCACAAAACCATTTTTCCTTCTAAGCCTCCTGGCCTGTGATGGGAGGGTCTGCTGTGAGGGTCTCTAACATGCCCTGGAGACATTTGCCCCATTGTCTTGGTGATTAACATTTGGCTCCTCATTACTTATGCAAATTTCTACAACCCAGTCTCCTGAGAAAATAGATTTTTCTTTTCTGTTGCATCATCAGGCTACAAATTTTCTGAACTTTTATGCTCTGCTTCTTCTCGAATGCTTTGCTGCTTAGAAATTTCTTCTGTCAGATACCTTCAATCATCTCTCTCAAGTTCAAAGTTCCACAGATCTGTAGGGAACTCTAGAAAGAAATTCTTATTTTCCCTCTTTCCCGCCTATCTTATGCCCGTTTCTAATACAGGTGCACAATGCCTGCAGTGTCTTTGCATAGTAAGAGTGACTTTACTCCATTTCCCAACAAATTCCTCATCTCCCTCTGAGACCACCTCCGCCTGGACCTTGTTGTCCATATCACTATTAACATTTTGGTCAAAGCCATTCAACAAGTCTCTAGGAAGTTCCAAACTTTCCCACATTTTCCTATCCTCTTCTGAGCCTTCCAAACTGTTCCAGCCTCTCCCTGTTACCCATTTCCAAAGTTGCTTCCACATTTTCGGGTATCTTTACAGCAGCACCCCACTCTACTGGTATCAACTTATTGTATTAGTCTGTTCTCACACCGCAAATAAAGACATACCTGAGACTGGGTAATTTATAAAGGAAAGAGGTTGAATTGACTCACAGTTCTGCATGGCTGGGGAGGCCTCACAATCATGGTGGAAGGCAAGGAGGTGCAAAAGCATGTCTCACATAGTGGCAGGCAGGAGAGAGCATGTGCAGGGGAGCTCCCATTTATAAAACCATCAGATCTCATGAGACTTAGTCACTACCGCGAGAACAGTATGGGGGGAACCATCCCCATGATTCAGTTATCTGCACCCGGCCCCACCCTTGACACGTGGGAATTATTACAATGCAAGGTGAGATTTGGGTGGGGACCCATCCAAACTATGTCAGTATGTTTTGACTTCTTGCTTGATTGCTAGGTTGCATAGAGGACAAACATGGAAATTAATGAAGTACCTTAATATCTGGCTTCAGATCTTAGGATCAGAGGGCCAGCTCAAATTTGCAAGGAGGGGAGGTAGATCCCACCATTTTATGGGTGAATGGCAAAATGAAACAGAAATTATGTGGGATGGGAGATACTGATACAGCCATCTTTGGAAACATTCTACTTAGCTAATTTTATGCTAGGCTTTAGGTCAAGAAGGAGAGAGAGAGCTGACATGCTGTGGTACACACTTATAGTCCCAGCGACTTGGAAAGCTGAGGCAGGAGGATTGCTTGATCCCAGGAGTTTGAGGTAGTGTGCGATGATCGTTCTTGTGAATAGCCACTAGCCACTGAACTCCAGCTTGGGCAACATTGAGACACCCTGTCTCTTAATTTAAAAAAAAAAAAAAAAAAAAGGAAAGAAAGTGGTCTCAGTTTTTAATGTAAGTATTTTTAATGGGATAGTGATATTTTAAGATTAATGTATATTGTATATCAGTTAACTGTAGGTCAATAATTATATAAAACTTAAGGTATGAAAAACATTTATTTTTGCTAACATATCTGTGAGTTGACTGTTCTTGGCTTGGTGAGGCTGCAAGCTGCAGATAGAGTCTAGGTATGTTTTCTGTGTGTTTGTTCCCCCTTGGATCAGTGGACTACCTGAGAATGTGTTTTTGTCACAGTGATAGAATCACAAGGAAACTCCAGTTCTGGAAGTACATTTTAAGCCATTGCTTCTCTCATGTCCACTAACATTCAGTCAGCCAAAGCACATACCTTGTCCATGGCTAACATTGATAGTATAGATAAATATACCTGATCTCTAGCAGGAGGAACTGCATTGTCTTGGGGAAAGGTTTTAGATATAGGGAGGGGTGATGAGTTGGGAACAATAATGTAGTCTGCCACAAACATATTAAAGTGTAACTGGATATGGTTGCTGCAGAATTTTGAACCTTTGTTTTAATTGTGATTTTTACTCTTTTCCCCCTATCTAGTGCCCTTTTGTAATACAGTAATTATCATGATTTTTGTCTGAACTGAAATCTTCTGAGATTAGATTGTCTACGAAAATACAGTCGATCCTCCTTGTTTTCAGCTTTTGTATTTGTGAACTCACCTACTATTTTTTGTAACCCCCAAATCAGTACTCACAGCACTTTCATAGTCATGTGTTTGCGCAGAGTGTCAAAGAATTTGAGTTTGAACAGGATGATATTCTGCCTTCTTTTTCAGCTCTCATACAATAGTCAGGTATCCTTTTTGTGGTCTATTTAATGCCATGCTTTTCCTGTTTTTGTGCTGTTTGTTGGTTGTTTTGCCATTTAAATTAACCCCCAAGCATAGTGCTGAAGTGCTGCTTAGCATTCACAAGTCCAAGAAGTCTGTGATGTGTCTTACAGAGAAAATACATGCATTAAATAAACTCCATTCAGGCGTGAGTGCTGTAGTGCCGTTGGCTGTGAGTTCAATGTTAATGAATGAACAATGTATATTATTTATTTATTCTTCATTTAATTAATTATTATTATTATTTTTTTTGAGATAGAGTCTCACTCTGTTGCTCAGGCTGGAGTGCAGTGGTGCAGTCTTGGCTCACTGCAACCTCTGCCTCCTGGGTTCAAGCGATTCCCCTGCCTTCGCCTCCCAAGTAGCTAAGACTACAGGCATGCGCCACCATGCCTGGCTAATTTTTTTTTTTTTTTTTTTTTTTTGTAGTTTTAGTAGAGACGGGGTTTCACCACGTTGGCCAGGCTGGTCTCGAACTCCAGACCTCAAATGATCTGCCCGCCTTGGCTTCCCAAAGTGCTGGGATTACAGGCGTTAGCCACTGTGCCTGGCCAACAATATATATTAAATAAGCACACATACAACAAAAGTAGGTGTTGGTAAGCTTACAAAAGTGTGACCAGTAGCTTGCTGAAACCTAACTTTTTATTTGTTCATGGAACTTTCTAGACCGTAACTACACTGAATAATGAGAATCTGCTGTAATCTTTTTAGGTGCTGTAGATGAGCCATTGGATTAAATTATTACAGTATGTTTCAGACTGCTGTATGTTGAACCCTAGTGAAATGCCTCTCAAACCTTCATAAGGATCACAATCTCATGTCCTTTTTTTTTTGTTATTAAATGCCCAGTATGTGTTAGCGATTTAAACAAAATTCAAATATTTTTTTTTTTTTTTGAGACAGAGTCTCGCTCTGTCACCTAAGCTGGAGAGTGCAGTGGTATGATCTCGGCTCACTACAACCTCTGCCTCCCGGGTTCAGGCGATTCTCCTGCCTCAGCATCCTGAGTAGCTGGGATTACAGGCACCCGCCACCACGCTGGGCTAATTTTTGTATTTTTAGTAGAGACGGGGTTTCGCCAGGTTGTCCAGGCTGGTCTGGAACTCCTGACCTCATGCGATCTGCCTGCCTTGGCCTCCTGAAGTGCTGGGATTATAGGCGTGAGCCACCATGCCCGGCGTTGACTTCTTAATAATAACCATACTGACTGGTGTGAGATGGTATGCCATTGTGGTTTTGATTTGCATTTCTCTAATGATCAGTGATATTGAGCTTTTTCTCATATGCTTGTTGGCCGCATGTGTGTCTTCTTTTGAAGTGTCTGTTTATGTCCTGTGCCCACTTTCTAATGAGATTTTTTTTTTCCTTGTAAATTTGTTTAAGTTCCTTATCAGTGTTGGACATTAGATCTTTGTCACATGCATTGTTGCAAAAATTTTCTCCCATTCTGTAGGTTGTCTGTTCACTCTGTTGATAGTTTCTTTTGCTGTGCAGAAGCTTCAAGAAGAAAGGAATCCGATTGGTTCTGTGTCTGTCTCTTTTGGTATTCTCAGAATTATGTAGTCATTCATATAGAAAGATGATTAGGAAAATAGGACAAGAATAGCAGAAATCTACATAAAAATGTAGGAAATTAAAATTAGTTACCAGCATACAAAAAACTTCTGTATGTTATAATTACATACTATAACTCACCCCTCCTTGGCAAATATTCTCTCTCTTTTGACTTCAAAATCATGGCTTATATGTACTTTCTCTATTTCCCAGATGCAAATATAATTAATTGACTTTATTTATCTAGGAAATGTTACTCATATCTTAATTGTAGTCATTGGCTTGAGTGACGGGTTTTGGTAATTCAACTACTATTACTTGAAAGTAGTAGATTTCATAGGATACTGTTATAAAATCTTTTTAACCTCTTTTCTGATTTCAGGAGTAATTAGTAATTGTGGTTTACTGGAAAATTCAATGAATAGGGTGTTAAAGGAAGCAATTCATTAATAATATATGTAATCTATTGGGAGACTGAGGCGGGTAGATCACCTGAGTTCAGGAGTTCGAGACCAGCCTGGCCAACATGGCAAAACTCCGTCTCTACTGAAAATAGAAAAATTCGCCGGGCATGGTGGTGCATTCCTGTATTCCCAGGTACTCGGAAGGCTGAGGCAGGAGAATCACCTGAACTCCAGAGGTGGAGGTTGCAGCGAGTCAGGATCGCAGCACTACACTCTAGCCTGGGTGACAGTGAGACTCCATCTCAAAAAAAAAAAAAAAAAAAAAAATTAAAAAATTAAATTAAAAGCGGGCTGGGCGCATTGGTTCAGGGCCGGGCACGGTGGCTCAAGCCTGTAATCCCAGCACTTTGGGAGGCCGAGGCAGGCGGATCACGAGGTCAGGAGATCAAGACCATCCTGGCTAATGTGGTGAAACCCCGTCTCTACTAACAATACAAAAATTAGCTGGATGTGGTGGCAGGTGCCTGTAATCCCAGCTATTCCAGAGGCTGAGGCAGGAGAATCACTTGAACCTGGGAGGCAGAGGTTTCAGTGAGTCCAGATCATGCCACTGCACTCCAGCCTGGGTGACAGAGCGAGATTCTATCTCAAAGAAAAAAAAAAAAAGCAACAGAAGCAAATGAGAGTGCCTGGGAGTGGTCATTGTGGGGCCTTCCCGTTTGTGTGACCCAGGTCATGTCCCTCCCTAAGCCCTGGTCTCTCTTGCCTCCTGCAGGGCTGGTGAATTACCAGATCTCCGTCAAGTGCAGTAACCAGTTCAAGTTGGAAGTGTGTCTTTTGAATGCAGAAAACAAAGTCGTGGACAACCAGGCTGGGACCCAGGGCCAGCTGAAGGTGCTGGGTGCCAACCTCTGGTGGCCGTACCTGATGCACGAACACCCCGCCTACCTGTACTCGTGGGAGGTAATGGTGGTTTGGGACTTGCGTAAGGGAGGTCTTTTGCCCCCATCTGGTAGCCCTGGCTTCAGCAGGAGCCCAGGACAGGTGAACGGGCAGGTGTGGTCCTCTGAGCTTTCTGATGTTTCCCACCCTTGGTGGGAGGCCCAGATTTTTTATTTATTTATTTATTTATTTGTTTGTTTGTTTGTTTGTTTGTTTTTGTGATGGTCTCACTCTGTCACCCAGGCTGGAATGCAATGGCCTGATCACAGCTCACTGCAGCTTTGAGCTGCAATCCTCCTACCTTGGCCTCCTGAGTAGCTGGGACTACAGGCACATGCCACCATGCCTGGCTAATTAAAAAAATTTTTTTTGTAGGCCGGGCATGGTGGCTCACACCTGTAATCCCAGCACTTCGGGAGGCTGACGCGGGCAGATCACTTTAGGCCAGGAGTTGGAGACCAGCCTGGCCAACATGGTGAAACCCCGTCTCTACTAAAATATGAAAATTTGCAGGGCATGATGGTGCACGTCTGTAATCCCAGCTACTCGGGAGGCTGAGGCAGGGGAATTGCTTGAACCCAGGAGGCAGGGGCCGCGGTGAATTGAGATCATGCCGCAGCACTCTATCCTGGGTGACAGAGTGAGACTGTCTCAAAAAAAAAAACTCCTTTTTATAGAGTTGGGGTCTTACTAGGTTGCCCAGGCTGGTCTTGAACTCCTGGACTCAGGTGATCCTCCTGCCTTAGCCTCCCAAGGTGTAGGGATTCCAGGCATGAGCCACCTCGTCTGGTCAAGGAGAAGGCCTGATTTTGAAGGGCAGGTCCCAGGGTCAGCCAGTGAAGGGCAGAGCCTCTGATTGCTGCTTCTCTGCAGGCCCAGTGGCGACTTCTGGGGTGCATGCACGAGGGGTCTTCCTGCTGTAGGGCAGGCCAGATGGGGCTCAGGCTGTCGGGGCGCTCACACCTGGCGCTTTGGCTGTCGTAGGTGCGGCTGACTGCACAGAAGTCACTGGGGCCTTTGACTTCTACACACTCCCTGTGGGGCTCCGCACTGTGCCCGTCACCGAGAGCCAGTGGGTGAGAGCCAGTTTCATTTGCGGTAGAGGCAGCAGAGGTTGTAGAAATGCTCCTTGAGGCAGATGCCACACCCCAATTTCATGGAGTGATTTGGGCTGAGCCGAGTCTGCAGCAGGCAGAAGGCTCTGAGATGTTGTCCTAGCCTGGGCAAAGGACAATTCAGAGCTCGGGGGAATAGGGGTGTGCTCAGCACGACTGGGTGGACAGGCCGTTTGTTGTGAATCGTACAGGCTTCCAGGAGCGGGTGCCTGAGGCTTCCAGACAGGCTTTGGGAGGTGGCCAGAGGAGATGCCTGTTTCCGGGGCAGGAAATGGAGGGAGGGCCCAGGCTGGAGAGGTTCAGCCAGGCTGTCACAAGGCTTTGAAGCTTCCCATCTGAGAGCCTGGCTATTGGAGAGTGTGGGTTTGGAACTTGAGGCTAGGAGGTTCTATTCTGTCCTGTGCCAGCCACAGCCTTCGGATGGGCAGAGCAATGATGGGGGGAAGATGTAAAAGAAAAGAACTGAGGAAAGAAGAAGAAAACCAGCTTCAACAACGGTCTAGGCCGGATGCGGTGGGTCACGCCTGTAATCCCAGCAGTTTGGGAGGCTGAGGTGGGTGGATCACCCGAGGTCAGGAGTTCGAGACCAGCCTGGTCAACAGGTAGTGAATCCTGTCTCTACTAAAAATACAAAAATTAGCTGGGCATGGTGGTGGACGTCTGTAATCCCAGCTACCAGGTAGGCTGAGGCAGGAGAATCGCCTCAGGTGAACCAGGAGGCAGAGATTGCAATGAGCTGAGATAATGCCACTGCATTCCAGCCTGGGCTACAGAATGAGACTCTGTATCTCAACAAAACAAAACAAAACAAAAACACAACAGTCTGTTCTGTGGAGGCCTTGGGCAGATGCTGGGAGCTCTGAGCACGGACTGGTCCCTCTGTTGGGAGCCTCTTCCCTTCATCCCTCCTGGTTAACTTGACTCAGCATAAAGGCCATTTCTTCTAAGAGCCTGTCCCTGACTCTCCAATCGGGGATGTGTCTGTTGTCTCATAGAGTGCCCAATTCCTGCCACCACTTGTCATTTCCATTCGCAACATTTCTTTCATTGTTTGTTTTTCAGAGTCAGGGTCTCACTCTGTTGCCCAGGCTGGAGTGCAGTGGTGCAATCATAGCTCGTTGCCATCTCGACCTCCTGGGCTTAAGCGATCCTCCCCACTCAGCCTCCCAAATAGCTGGGACCACAGACGTGCGCTGCCTTGCCAGGCTAAATTTTAATATTTTTTTTTTCCCCACGAGTCAGAGTCTTGCTCTGTCTCCCAGGCTGGAGAGCAGTGTTGCGATCTTGGCTCACTGCATCCTCTACCTCCTGGGTACAAACAGTTCTCCTGCCTCACCCTCCCGAGTAGCTGGGATTACAGGCTCACGCCACCATGCCCAGCTAGTTTTCTTCTTTATTTTTTGTTGAGATGGGGTTTCACCATGTTGGCCAGGCTGGTCTCGAACTCTTGAGCTCGTGATCCACCTGCCTTGGCCTCCCAAAGTGCTCACAGGCTTGAGCCACCATGCCCGGCCCTAATTTTTAAATTTGTTGTAGAAACAAGGTCTTGCTATGTTGTCCAGGCTGGTCTCAAGCGCCTGGTCTCAAGTAAGCCTCCCAAAGTGCTGGGGTTCTAGGCGTGAGCCACCTCGCCTGGCACTTGCACCGTTTTTCTGTGCATGCATCTCCACTCCCACTGCCCAGGACCTGTGGACTTAGATTTGAGTCATTACTGAGCACCTAGCACCCAGCCTCATGCCTACCTCCCACCTCGCACTACCTGTTTGCTTGATGCATTAATAAATATTCCACCTGAATCCACAGCCCATTCACTCCTGTGTTCAAGAGCTATTTCAGGAAGTGAACCTCATTTCTGGCAGTGTTCAGTCCAGTGACCTCAGCTCTGTGTACCCGGCAGGGTGGCTACGCCTCTGGGGGAGTTGGATTCAGGGGTGGGGGAGAAAGAGTGTTGTTAGAGAGCTCGGTCTAGGACTAGAGGAACGTGCCCTTATGTAAAATACATCTCAAGTTAGGGAAGAAAGCAGCGGCTCTGTGCTTTGTTTTTTTTTTTTTTTTTCCTTTTTTTTCTTTCTTTTTTTTTTGTTTGTTTGTTTGTTTGTTTGTTTGTTTTGGGGCAGGGTCTTGCTCTGTGGCCCAGGCTGGAGTGCAGTAGCGTGATTTCGGCTCACTGCAACCTCCACCTCCCGGGTTCAAGCAATTCTTGTGCCTCAGCCTCCCGAGTAGCTGGAGTTACAGATGCGTGCCACTATGCCTGGCTAATTTTTGTATATTTAGTAGAAATGGGGTTTTGCCATGTTGGCCAGGCGGTTCTTGAACCCCTGACCTCAGTGATCTGCCTGCCTCAGCCTCCTGAAGTGCTGGGATTACAGGCGTGAGCCATCGTGCCTGGCCCCCAGTTGTGTTCTGGCAGGGGAAGATGGGACAGAGAGGATGGGAGGGTGTCTGAGCCTTTCCCGGACTGACGGAACCTGTGTCTTCTCTCTTTTGTGGACAGGATGGTGATTGCTCACACCAAAGCCTTGGACCCCTCCCAGCCTGTGACCTTTGTGACCAACTCCACCTACGCAGCAGACAAGGGGGTGAGCCTGGGGGTCCCCACCCCATTTCTCCCTGCCTTTGCCTGGGCTTGTCCTGAAGCCTGCTCATGGGAACAGCTGGAAAGAACCATGTGCTGCCAGTCTGAGCTTTTTATTTTGTTTTACTTAGAAAGATAGAGACAGGGTCTTGCCATGTTGCCCAGGCTGGTCTCGAACTCCTGGGCTCAAGTGATCCTCCTGCCTCGGCCTTCCAAAGGGCTGGGGTTACAGGCGTGTGCCACCGCACTCAGCCGCAGCCAGTCTGTTTTCAAAGATGGTCTTTGGGTTAATGACAATTCTCTCTCTGCTTACTCTCCAGGCAGTGTGGCTTTCTGAATCCAAGGAGGCTGGGCATAGGGAGATGGGATTTGTTTGCCCGGTTTGGACTCAGCATTTTTTGTACTCGATTTAATAGACTCATAAAATGTCAAAGGTTTAAGTGAGCTTAGAGTTCATCTGGCCCAAACCTGGCTGATCAGAATCTCCAGGGGAAGTTTTATTGAAATGCCAGATCTCTGCGTTCTGAGATCCTGATTTAGTAACTCCAGGGTTGGAACCTGAGTTTTTTGTTTTTTTGTGTGTGTGTGTGAAGGCAAGGTCTTACTCTGTTGCTCTGGCTGGAGTGCAGTGGTGTGATCACAGCTCACTGCAGCCTTGAATTCCTGGGCCTAAGCAAGCCTCTTGCCTCAGCCTTCCAAGTAGCTGGGACTCCGGGTGTACACCACTGTGCCCGGCTAATTTTAAATGTTTTTGTAGAGATGGGATCTCACTATGTTGCCCAGGCCAGTCTCAAACTCTTGAGCTCAAGTGATCCTCCTGCCTTAGCCTCCTAAAGTGCTGGGATTACAGGCATGAGCCACC
Source organism: Homo sapiens (assembly GCF_000001405.40). Classification (NCBI taxonomy): domain Eukaryota; kingdom Metazoa; phylum Chordata; class Mammalia; order Primates; family Hominidae; genus Homo; species Homo sapiens. The sequence continues at coordinate 641,123 of NW_003315917.2, read as the reverse complement.
GTGCCTGGCTGATACTAGCATTCTTTTTTATTTTTTATTATTTTTTTAAGATAGAGTCTTGCTCTGTTGCCCAGGCTGGAGTGCAGTGGCACAGTCTCAGCTCAGTGCAACCTCCGCCTCCCAGGTTCAAGCAATTCTCCTGCCTCAGCCTCCCAAGTAGCTGGGATAACAGGCACATGCCACCACGCCTGCGCTTGATCGTGGGAGGCAGAGGTTGCATTATTGTGCCACTCCATTCTAGCCTGGGCAACAGAGCGAGACTCTGTCTTCCAAACAAAGCGGAAAAAGATTATCTGCGAGAATGACTGCATTGGCCCCTTGGGTGGGAGGGCTTCTCCAGGGCAAGGTGAGGGGATGCCCAGTGCTGGGAGTGCTGCCTGGAGAGGAGTCAGTTCCAGTGGCGGGGGCCCTGGGTTTTGGCTGAGGACTGCGTGTTGGCAGCTGCTCTGCCTCTCACAGCCCTTCCCAGCTGCACACGTCGTGAGCGTCAGTGTGCAATCACAGGCCTGCCTCCTTTGGGCCACTTTGTGACCATGTTTTTTGCTTGTGGGGCAGGGTAATTTCAGGATCTAAATTGGTGCAGTTGGATGTTCTCAGCCCCGAGAGGCAGCTCTTCCCGTTGTAGGCTTTTTGTTTTGTTTTGTAGAAATGGAGTCCTACGATGTTGCCCAGGCTGGTCTCAAACTCCTGGGCTCAAGTGATCCTCCCACCTTGGCCTCCCAATGTGCTGGGATTACAGGCATGAGCCACTGTGCCGTGCTGATTTTCTTGATACTATTTTTTGTAGAGCTGGGGTCTTGCTGTGTTGCCCAGGCTGGTCTCGAACTCCTGGCCACAAGCCACCCTCCTGCCTCAGCCTCCCAGAGTGCTGGGATTACATCCCCTTCTTACCTTCTCTGTCAGAGGAGCCCCCACAGCATGTGAGTACTGAGTCATGCGGTCTTGTGGTTGCTGAACGGGCTCTGCTGCTCTGGTCCTAGGCTCTGTATGTGGATGTGATCCGTGTGAACAGCTACTACTCTTGGTATCGCAACTACGGGCACCTGGAGTTGATTCAGCTGCAGCTGGCCGCCCAGTTTGAGAATTGGTGTAAGACATCACAATCCCATTATTCAGAGCGCGTATGGAGTGGAAACGCTTGTAGGGTTTCACCAGGTAAGCGGTGTTGAACTTTCTGCTTGTGTATTCTCTCTGGGCAGAGATGCCACTTGCCTCCCCCACCATGCCATCTCTGAAGAATATTACAGACCATTTTGGAGCATGGTGAATAAGAAATTTTCACCTTAGGAGTTCACTTGAATAGTCATTTTTATATTTGTGACTGCAAGTCACTCTTAGGGGCTGTACTTCCTTAGTACTGGTAGCATTATTATCCAATGGACTTTTATAGCTTTCATTAGGTTTTCTTTTGTTTTTGTTCTTTAAAGAACGTTTTACTTATCTTAGTATTTCATTTTTCATCTATATTATGAGGCAGTAAGAGTCTTCTGTTTTTCCAAAGTTGAGACTGCTTTATATTTATTTCGTATTGTCTACAGCTGTAGTGTTCAATACATTAGCCACTAGCCACATGTGGTTATTTAAATAAGATAAAATAAAAATTGGCCGGGCGTGGTGGGTCACGCCGGTAATCCCAGCACTTTGGGAGGCCGAGGCGGGCAGATCATTAGGTCAGGAGATCGAGACCATCCTTACTAAGACGGTGAACCCCCATCTCTATTAAAAATACAAAAAATTAGCCGGGCGTGGTGGCGGGCGCCTGCAGTCCCAGCTACTCAGGAGGCTGAGGCAGGAGAATGGCGTGAACCTGGGAGGCAGAGTTTGCAGTGAGCCGAGATGGCGCCACTGCACTCCAGCCTGGGGGACAGAGCGAGACTCCATCTCAAAAAAAAAAAGAAAATTAAAAATTAAGTTCTTTAGTTGCACTAGCCATATTTCAAATACTTGATGGATACATGTGGCTAGTGGCTAACATAAGGGATAGCACAGATATAAAACATTTGCTCGTCATATAAAGTTCTATTGGATAGTGCTGGTCTGTAGCTTATAGGATGGTATCTTAGTCTGCTTCAGCTGCTAAAACAGAATACCATAAATTAGGTAGCTTAAACAGTAGATATTTTGACCAGGCGTGGTGGCTTATGCCTGTATTCCTAACACTTTGGGAGGCCGAGGCAGGTGGATAACTTGAGCTCAGGAGTTTGAGACTAGCCTGGGCAGCATGGCAAAACCTTGTCTCTACGAAAATCAGCTGGGCATGGTGGTGCACGCCTGTAGTCTGAGCTACTTGGGAGGCTGAGGTGGGAGAATTGCTTGAACCTGGGAGGCGGAGGTTGCAGTGAGCCATGATCGCACCACTGTACTCCAGCCTGGATGACAGAATGAGACTCTGTCTCAAAAAAAACAAAAACAAACAAACAAAAAAACAGATATTTCTCACAGTTCTGGAGACTGGAAGTGCAAGATCAAAGTGTTGGCAAATTGTGTTTATTAAAGAGGGCCTGCTTCCTAGATTGGAAATGGCCATCTTCTCTCGGTATCCTCACATGGTAGGGAGAAAAGCAGCTCTAGTGTCTCTTCTTATAAAGGAAGTAATGCCACCATAGGGGCTCTATTCTCATGACCTCATCTAAACCTAATTCTCTCCTAAAGGCCACGCCTCCCAGTATCCTCACCTTGGGGGTTAGGGCTTTATCATATGAATTTTTTTTTTTTTTTTTTTTTTTTTTTTTGAGACAGAGTCTCGCTCTGTCTGTCACCCAGGCTGGAGTGCAGTGGCACAATCTCGGCTCTCTACAAGCTCCGCCTCCTGGGTTCACGCCGTTCTCCTGCGTCAGCCTCCTCAGTAGCTGGGACTAAGGCGCCCGCCACTGCGCCCGGCTAATTTTTTGTATTTTCAGTAGAGACGGGGTTTTACCATGTTAGCCAGGATGATCTCGATCTCCTGACCTCATGATCCACCCGCCTCGGCCTCCCAAAGTGCTGGGATTACAGGCATGAGCCACCGCGCCCGGCCTATCATATGAATTTTGAGGGAACACAAACATGCAGTCTGTAGCAGATGGTAATAGGCTGACATATTACACTTGTTGATGTAAATCTGATAGGTTTCTTTCTCTCCAAGGACAGCTTTTTAAATATTTAACAGTATCAATAATTTTTCAGGTTCTGTGAGAATTTTATAATTTATAATTTGCAGACTTAACGTATAATCTATTTTGTCCTAACAATTACAAATATATTTTTTATTTCAGATTGTATATATTCCTACCAGATGGAGATAATTACAGCTTTAAAAATTTTTATTTTTTCATTTTATTTCAGACATTGACATTAAATTTTTATGGACACATAATAACTGTACATATATATGGGGTAGAATGTGATGTTTTAATACATGTACTCAATGTGTAATGATCAAATCAGGGTAATTTGCATAATGATTTTTCTGTAGGGAGAAAATTCAAAATCTACTCTTCTGGCTATTTTCAAATATATAATATGTTATTGTTAACTATACTCATCCTACTATGCAATAGGACACCAGAACTTATTCCTGGGTTCTACATCCGTTAAGGCAACCAAGGATTGGAAATATTGGAAAAAAAAATTGCGTCTGTACTGAACATGTACAGACTTTTTTCTTGTCCTTATTCCTTACACAATATAGTACAATAACTATTTGCATGACATTTACATCGGATATTATGAGTGATCTAGAGTTGATATGAAGTATATGGGAGGATGTGCAAAGGTGATGTGCAAATACTATGTCATTTTATATCAGGGACTTGAGTATCCTTTGTTACCCTCAGGAGATCCTGAAACCAGTCCCCCATGGATACTGAGGGCTGACTGTATAGTCCTATCCTCACGGAACTTTCATTCTAATGGGGGAAGACTGACTATAAACAAAATATATGTAATAGGTGGTGGTAAGTACCGTGGAGAAGTAACAAATGGGGCAAAGTGAGTTATACAGCTCCATTCTTAGAAACCTTGGAGTACTTTTCTTAGTTTATACTCGTGGTGGTTTCCTTTTGTCTCCTTTATTACATGGGACTCTGACATGTGCCCATAGCTAGGGTGACAGTAGGATCTACCCGATAGTAGGGTGGCAGTAGGATCTACCCAAAAAGCGTCCTGCTGATACAGGACCAAAGCATCCTGTTGTTCTCGAGCCTATAAAAAGAGCTAATGGTGTTGCTTCTCTTAACTGTGGCCTCCTACACTGTGTTTTGGATGATTGGTGATGTCTTGGATATTCTGTTTCTTTGGAACTTTGAATATACAACACTTTACTAGGGAATTAGCAATGGAAGCAGAGCAAAGATGTACAGAGGAAACAATGCGTAACTCTGATGGAATTGAAGTCATGAGGCAGCAGAGAGCTTAAATTACAGCTTTAAAAATTTTTATTTTTTAGAGGGAATTTACTTGGGAGTAACAGCAGTAATAGTTAACGGAGCCAGAATGCTTGAGTCATATAATTGCAAAGCAGAGTTGGGAGCAACAGATGCTAAAGAGTAGTTGCTGTAGTTCCTCTTTGGGTCGTAGGAGCAGTTGTCATATTACTATATAGCTACTGCATGAAGAAGAGTTCTTAGTGAGGCCTGGGTGAACAGCTCTTCTTAGTATTCTGTGTGACCCCATTTGACCTTTTAACAAATCCCTAAGTAAATAAATAGCCCCTCAGGAAAACTAAGTTTTTCTCTGCTGTTTTTTTGCTTGAGAGAGCTATAACTGTAATAGACTTATATTTCTGAACATTTTAGTGCTTGCCAATATTTGGTAATATTTATGTTTCCTATATTTGTAATGAACATTCTTCTTCCGGTACATTTTTTGTTAAATTATTGTTTGATGGATAAAAGTTCACCTTTTATTGTATAAAATTGACTGAGATTAATTTATACACATTGACAATGGGTAAATAGAATTTTTCAGATTATTAAAAGCTGAAGGATGCCCACGTAAGCAAAAAAAAAAAAAGAAAAAACCAACAAAAATAAACCCAAACCCCTCAAACAATTTCGAACACGAAACATTCTTCTGATGCCGGCATCCCTGCTTGCAGGTGTGAAGGGGGCAGGAATCAGCGAGGTGTCCTGGGCTGAGTCCCCGGAGTGGGAAGAGGTGGCAGGAAGGGGATCTGAGGAGGAGAACAGGGGTCCTGGTGGTCTGTGCTTCTTCCCAGACACGGGAGCTGTAGAGAAGACCTCTGCAGCAGATGCTAGGGGGGCCAGTAGGCCCAGGCAGTCTTGGGACTTGGGTCTGTCCTGCTGTGCATCCATAGTGGGTGCTTTAGAAACGGGAGGCCCACCCGAAGCCCCTGTTGCAAGTGAGGACAAAGTGTGGGAAGGCCGTGAGGGTCTGCAGTCCGAGATGGCCTTGTCCTCAACGTGCAGTGCACTGTTGATGCGGGGCCTAGAGGCCTGGGATCTGGGGGAGCCACCCCTGGGGGCGAGTGTCTGCCCTGGTGCTGTACCTGCCTTGTTTTCACAGCGGTGACCCGAAGAGACAGCCTGAGGTCCGTCCTCACTCACTGTGTTTGAGGAACTGTGGGCCAGCTGGCAGTGGGATGAGGCTGGCCCCCTCCTCCGCTTTACTTCCCGGAGGCCTTCCGTAGAGCTGTGGGAGCTGGAGCTGGCATTTCGTTTGAGGCAGGATCTGGTCCGGGAGGTCTGGGATCTCTGGTTATATCTCACTTCTGACCTCTGGGCACGTGCTGCAGCTGTGGCTGAGGCCAAGAAATGTGAGGGGCCTCCATCCACTGCATTGAGTAGCGACCCCGACGTGGGGTTCAATGTGGAGGGGGGAAGGGCTGCTGCGGCAGCTGCAGGAGCCGAGGTGCCAGGCCTTGTTCTTCTCATGCCGGCATCCCTGCTTGCAGCTGTGAAGGTGGCAGGAATCAGCGAGGTGACCTGGGCTGAGTCCCGGGAGTGGGAAGAGGTGGCAGGAAGGGGATCTGAGGAGGAGAACAGGGGTCCTGGTGGTCTGTGCTTCTTCCCAGACACGGGAGCTGTAGAGGGGACCTCTGCAGCAGATGCTAGGGGGGCCACTAGGCCCAGGCAGTCTTGGGACTTGGGTCTGTCCTGCTGTGCGTCCATAGTGGGTGCTTTAGAAACGGGAGGCCCACCCGAAGCCCCTGTTGCAAGTGAGGACAAAGTGTGGGAAGGCCGTGAGGGTCTGCAGTCCGAGATGGCCTTGTCCTCAACGTACAGTGCACTGTTGATGTGGGGCCTAGAGGCCTGGGATCTGGGGGAGCCTCCCCTGGGGGCGAGTGTCTGCCCTGGTGCTGTACCTGCCTTGTTTTCACAGCGGTGACCCGAAGAGACAGCCTGAGGTCCGTCCTCACTCACTGTGTTTGAGGAACTGTGGGCCAGCTGGCAGTGGGATGAGGCTGGCCCCCTCCTCCGCTTTAGTTCCTGGAGGCCTTCCGTAGAGCTGTGGGAGCTGGAGCTGGAGCTGGCATTTCGTTTGAGGCAGGATCTGGTCCGGGAGGTCTGGGATCTCTGGTTATATCTCACTTCTGACCTCTGGGCACGTGCTGCAGCTGTGGCTGAGGCCAAGAAATGTGAGGGGCCTCCATCCACTGCATTGAGTAGTGACCCCGACGTGTTGTTCAATGTGGAGGGGGGAGGGGCTGCTGTGGCAGCTGCAGGAGCCGACCTTGTTCTTCTCATGCCGGCATCCCTGCTTGCAGCTGTGAAGGTGGCAGGAATCAGCGAGGTGACCTGTGCTGTGTCCCGGGAGTGGTAAGAGGTGGCAGGAAGGGGATCTGAGGAGGAGAACAGGGGTCCTGGTGGTCTGTGCTTCTTCCCAGACACGGGAGCTGTAGAGGGGACCTCTGCAGCAGATGCTAGGGGGGCCAGTAGGCCCAGGGAGTCTTGGGACTTGGGTCTGTCCTGCTGTGCATCCATAGTGGGTGCTTTAGAAACGGGAGGCCCACCCGAAGCCCCTGTTGCAAGTGAGGACAAAGTGTGGGAAGGCCGTGAGGGTCTGCAGTCCGAGATGGCCTTGTCCTCAACGTGCAGTGCAGTGTTGATGTGGGGCCTAGAGGCCTGGGATCTGGGGGAGCCACCCCTGGGGGCAAGTGTCTGCCCTGGTGCTGTACCTGCCTTGTTTTCACAGCGGTGACCCGAAGAGACAGCCTGAGGTCCGTCCTCACTCACTGTGTTTGAGGAACTGTGGGCCAGCTGGCAGTGGGATGAGGCTGGCCCCCTCCTCCGCTTTACTTCCTGGAGGCCTTCCGTAGAGCTGTGGGAGCTGGAGCTGGCATTTCGTTTGAGGCAGGATCTGGTCCGGGAGGTCTGGGATCTCTGGTTATATCTCACTTCTGACCTCTGGGCACGTGCTGCAGCTGTGGCTGAGGCCAAGAAATGTGAGGGGCCTCCATCCACTGCATTGAGTAGCGACCCCGACGTGGGGTTCAATGTGGAGGGGGGAGGGGCTGCTGCGGCAGCTGCAGGAGGCGACCTTGTTCTTCTCATGCCGGCATCCCTGCTTGCAGCTGTGAAGGGGGCAGGAATCATCGAGGTGACCTGGGCTGAGTCCCGGGAGTGGGAAGAGTTGGCAGGAAGGGGATCTGAGGAGGAGAACAGGGGTCCTGGTGGTCTGTGCTTCTTCCCAGACACGGGAGCTGTAGCGGGGACCTCTGCAGCAGATGCTAGGGGGGCCACTAGGCCCAGGCAGTCTTGGGACTTGGGTCTGTCCTGCTGTGCATCCATAGTGGGTGCTTTAGAAACGGGAGGCCCACCCGAAGCCCCTGTTGCAAGTGAGGACAAAGTGTGGGAAGGCCGTGAGGGTCTGCAGTCCGGGATGGCCTTGTCCTCAACGTGCAGTGCACTGTTGATGCGCTGGAATGCCTTCTCTTTTTCCAGGTGCAGGTCTTCAGCCGTGACCCGGTACCCCAGCTCTAAGGGAGGTGGCAGCATCAAAGGCTCCCCTCGCCTGCGTGGCAGCAGGGGAATCTTGCGTCTACGGGGCCTAGAGTCCTGGGATCTGGGGGAGCCACCCGTTGGGGCGATTGTCTGCCCTGGTGCTGTATCTGCCCCCTTTTCACACCGTGTGTGACCCGAAGAGACAGCCTGAGGCCTGTCCTCACTCACTGTCTTTGAGTAACTGAGGGTCAGCTGGCAGCGGGATGAGGCTGGCCCCCTCCTCTGCTTTAGCCCCGGCAAGCCTCCCGTGGAGCTGTAGGAGCTGGAGATGGCATTTCGTTTGGTGCTCGAGCTCGTCCAGGATGTCTGGGATGTGTGGTTATATCTGATTTCTGAGCTCTGGGCGTGGAGGTCTGTCTGCAGAGGCCCGGGCCTGGGCACAAAGGGAGAGGGGCCTCCATTGTCCCGCAGGGGCCAAAATGCAGACCGTGCATCCCCGGTGACCTCGGGGACCGTTCTCTGATCATCAGGATTTTCTTGGACTCTGGGGTCCTTGTGCTGCTCAGGCATCCCTGCCCCGCTCTCCTTGAGGGCCCTCAACACTATCTTCCCTGGACACAAGTCTGGGGACAGCCGGGTGTTGTGGACCCCAAAGGGGTGACTACCTGCTCCTGGGCCCCACAGAGTCCTTGTGCTCAGTGTAGTGGCTGAGCTGGGGGATGCCCTGGAACTCGGAGCACACAGCACTGGCTTACTGTGGTACCTGTGCAGTGAAATTGAAGACAGAATCACCAGGATGGAACACAGGTCTTGCAGGATCACTTGAAACCTTCTTAGAGTTGTCTTGACACCAGTGATGTCGAGTGTGCGGGTGTTTGTAGGATGGCCTGCCACTCAGTCCAGGGGCAGGAGCAACGGGGAGATCCCACAAGCAAAGTGAACTGGGGGATGGGCTGAAGGGGCTCCAGGCAACTGAGCCCTACTCGCAGGTCCTCGGCCTTGGCCCAAACAGGAATGAGGGGCACAGAGTGCCCGGGTAACCGCTCCTGGGAGCAGTGGGGAACTGTCGGATACTTGAACTCTCAAGAGCTGGGCTCTGAGCGTCCTCGTCCAGCTGCCAACTTGGCCAAAGGCTAAGCCAGCAGATTGTTCTGTTGCCGGGCAACGCGACTTCTAAACCTGAGGGAGTGGGCATGTGAGCACATAATGGCACCAGTGACAGAGCGACCATAATGGATGAATAAGCGCAGCCAGGTACCCGCGCAAGGCACCTGCTGGCAATGGCAGGAGGCGGACGTGGGGGGTCGTGCAGTAGGTACTGGAGGGAGAGACGTGGGCACAAAGGTCGCGGGAGGAACAGGTGCCCACAATGGCTGCATATTTGCCCGTGGATCACTGAAGATTCCTGCTCTCCTGCTGAGGTGGAGACTGCAGTGAGCTGAGATCGCACCATTGCACTCCAGCCTGGGCAACGAGTGCAAAACTCAGTCTCCAGATAAAAAAAAGAAAAAGAAAAAAAAGAGGCCGGGTGTGGTGGCTTATGCCTATGATCCTAGCACTTTGGGAGGTCGGGGTGGACGGATCACGAGATCAGGAGTTGGAGGCCAGCCTGGCCAACATAGTGAAAGCCCGTCTCTAGTAAAAATACAAAATTTAGTCAGACATGGTGGGCAGGAGAGAGCATGTGCAGGGGAACATCCATTTATAAAACCATCAGACCTCATGAGACTTATTCACTACCATGAGAACAGCATGGGGGAAACTGCCTCCATGATTCAGTTATCTCCACCTGGCCCCACCCTTGACACATGGGAATTGTTACAATTCAAGATGAGATTTGGGTGCGGACAGAGCCAAACCATATAATTCTTCCCCGGCCCCTCCCAAATCTCATGTCCTCATATTTCAAAAGCAATCATGCCTTCCCCTAAGTCCCCCAAACTCTTATTTCAGCATTAACTCAAAATTCCATAGTCCAAAGTCTCATCTGAGACAAGGCAAGTCCCTTCCACCTATGAGCCTGTAAAATCAAAAGCAAGTTAGTTATTTTCTAGATACACAGGGATACAGGCATTGGGTAAATACACTCGTTTCAAATGGGAGAAATTGGCCAAAGCGAAAGAGCTACAGGCCCCATGCAAGTCCAAAACCCAGCAGGCAAATCTTAAAGCTCCAAAATGACCTCCTTTGACTCCATGTGTCACATCTAGGTGATGCAAGAAGTGGGTTCCCAGGGTCTTGGGCAGCCCCGCCCCTGTGGCTTTGCAGGGTACAGCCCCCCTTCTGGCTGCATTGAGTGTCTGCAGCTTTTCCAGGCACACAGTGCAAGCTGTCAGTGGATCTACCATTCTGGGGTCTGGAGGATGGTGGCCCTTTTCTCACAGCTCTGCTTGGCAGTACCCCAGTGGGGACTCTGTGTGGGAGCTCCAACCCCATATTTCCCTTTGACACTGTCCTAGCAGAGGTTATCCATGAGGGCCCCCCCCTCCCCTCCCCCCCACAGCAAACTTTTGCCTGGATTTCCAGGCATTTTCATACATCTTCTGAAATGTAGGCGGAGGTTCATGAACGTTAATTCTTGACTTTGGTGCATCTGCAGGCTTAACACCACCTAGAACCTGAAAGGCTTGGAACTTGCACCCTCTGAAGCCATGGCCTGAGGTGTACCTTGGCCCCTTTTACCTATGGCAGGAGCAGCTGGGATGCAGGGCCCCAAGTTCCTAGGCTGCACACAGCAGGGGGTTCTGGACCCACAAAACCATTTTTCCTTCTAAGCCTCCTGGCCTGTGATGGGAGGGTCTGCTGTGAGGGTCTCTAACATGCCCTGGAGACATTTGCCCCATTGTCTTGGTGATTAACATTTGGCTCCTCATTACTTATGCAAATTTCTACAACCCAGTCTCCTGAGAAAATAGATTTTTCTTTTCTGTTGCATCATCAGGCTACAAATTTTCTGAACTTTTATGCTCTGCTTCTTCTCGAATGCTTTGCTGCTTAGAAATTTCTTCTGTCAGATACCTTCAATCATCTCTCTCAAGTTCAAAGTTCCACAGATCTGTAGGGAACTCTAGAAAGAAATTCTTATTTTCCCTCTTTCCCGCCTATCTTATGCCCGTTTCTAATACAGGTGCACAATGCCTGCAGTGTCTTTGCATAGTAAGAGTGACTTTACTCCATTTCCCAACAAATTCCTCATCTCCCTCTGAGACCACCTCCGCCTGGACCTTGTTGTCCATATCACTATTAACATTTTGGTCAAAGCCATTCAACAAGTCTCTAGGAAGTTCCAAACTTTCCCACATTTTCCTATCCTCTTCTGAGCCTTCCAAACTGTTCCAGCCTCTCCCTGTTACCCATTTCCAAAGTTGCTTCCACATTTTCGGGTATCTTTACAGCAGCACCCCACTCTACTGGTATCAACTTATTGTATTAGTCTGTTCTCACACCGCAAATAAAGACATACCTGAGACTGGGTAATTTATAAAGGAAAGAGGTTGAATTGACTCACAGTTCTGCATGGCTGGGGAGGCCTCACAATCATGGTGGAAGGCAAGGAGGTGCAAAAGCATGTCTCACATAGTGGCAGGCAGGAGAGAGCATGTGCAGGGGAGCTCCCATTTATAAAACCATCAGATCTCATGAGACTTAGTCACTACCGCGAGAACAGTATGGGGGGAACCATCCCCATGATTCAGTTATCTGCACCCGGCCCCACCCTTGACACGTGGGAATTATTACAATGCAAGGTGAGATTTGGGTGGGGACCCATCCAAACTATGTCAGTATGTTTTGACTTCTTGCTTGATTGCTAGGTTGCATAGAGGACAAACATGGAAATTAATGAAGTACCTTAATATCTGGCTTCAGATCTTAGACAGGATCAGAGGGCCAGCTCAAATTTGCAAGGAGGGGAGGTAGATCCCACCATTTTATGGGTGAATGGCAAAATGAAACAGAAATTATGTGGGATGGGAGATACTGATGCAGCCATCTTTGGAAACATTCTACTTAGCTAATTTTATGCTAGGCTTTAGGTCAAGAAGGAGAGAGAGAGCTGACATGCTGTGGTACACACTTATAGTCCCAGCGACTTGGAAAGCTGAGGCAGGAGGATTGCTTGATCCCAGGAGTTTGAGGTAGTGTGCGATGATCGTTCTTGTGAATAGCCACTAGCTACTGAACTCCAGCTTGGGCAACATTGAGACACCCTGTCTCTTAATTTAAAAAAAAAAAAAAAAAAAAGGAAAGAAAGTGGTCTCAGTTTTTAATGTAAGTATTTTTAATGGGATAGTGATATTTTAAGATTAATGTATATTGTATATCAGTTAACTGTAGGTCAATAATTATATAAAACTTAAGGTATGAAAAACATTTATTTTTGCTAACATATCTGTGAGTTGACTGTTCTTGGCTTGGTGAGGCTGCAAGCTGCAGATAGAGTCTAGGTATGTTTTCTGTGTGTTTGTTCCCCCTTGGATCAGTGGACTACCTGAGAATGTGTTTTTGTCACAGTGATAGAATCACAAGGAAACTCCAGTTCTGGAAGTACATTTTAAGCCATTGCTTCTCTCATGTCCACTAACATTCAGTCAGCCAAAGCACATACCTTGTCCATGGCTAACATTGATAGTATAGATAAATATACCTGATCTCTAGCAGGAGGAACTGCATTGTCTTGGGGAAAGGTTTTAGATATAGGGAGGGGTGATGAGTTGGGAACAATAATGTAGTCTGCCACAAACATATTAAAGTGTAACTGGATATGGTTGCTGCAGAATTTTGAACCTTTGTTTTAATTGTGATTTTTACTCTTTTCCCCCTATCTAGTGCCCTTTTGTAATACAGTAATTATCATGATTTTTGTCTGAACTGAAATCTTCTGAGATTAGATTGTCTACGAAAATACAGTCGATCCTCCTTGTTTTCAGCTTTTGTATTTGTGAACTCACCTACTATTTTTTGTAACCCCCAAATCAGTACTCACAGCACTTTCATAGTCATGTGTTTGCGCAGAGTGTCAAAGAATTTGAGTTTGAACAGGATGATATTCTGCCTTCTTTTTCAGCTCTCATACAATAGTCAGGTATCCTTTTTGTGGTCTATTTAATGCCATGCTTTTCCTGTTTTTGTGCTGTTTGTTGGTTGTTTTGCCATTTAAATTAACCCCCAAGCATAGTGCTGAAGTGCTGCTTAGCATTCACAAGTCCAAGAAGTCTGTGATGTGTCTTACAGAGAAAATACATGCATTAAATAAACTCCATTCAGGCGTGAGTGCTGTAGTGCCGTTGGCTGTGAGTTCAATGTTAATGAATGAACAATGTATATTATTTATTTATTCTTCATTTAATTAATTATTATTATTATTTTTTTTGAGATAGAGTCTCACTCTGTTGCTCAGGCTGGAGTGCAGTGGTGCAGTCTTGGCTCACTGCAACCTCTGCCTCCTGGGTTCAAGCGATTCCCCTGCCTTAGCCTCCCAAGTAGCTAAGACTACAGGCATGCGCCACCATGCCTGGCTAATTTTTTTTTTTTTTTTTTTTTTTGTAGTTTTAGTAGAGACGGGGTTTCACCACGTTGGCCAGGCTGGTCTCGAACTCCAGACCTCAAATGATCTGCCCGCCTTGGCTTCCCAAAGTGCTGGGATTACAGGCGTTAGCCACTGTGCCTGGCCAACAATATATATTAAATAAGCACACATACAACAAAAGTAGGTGTTGGTAAGCTTACAAAAGTGTGACCAGTAGCTTGCTGAAACCTAACTTTTTATTTGTTCATGGAACTTTCTAGACCGTAACTACACTGAATAATGAGAATCTGCTGTAATCTTTTTAGGTGCTGTAGATGAGCCATTGGATTAAATTATTACAGTATGTTTCAGACTGCTGTATGTTGAACCCTAGTGAAATGCCTCTCAAACCTTCATAAGGATCACAATCTCATGTCCTTTTTTTTTTGTTATTAAATGCCCAGTATGTGTTAGCGATTTAAACAAAATTCAAATATTTTTTTTTTTTTTTGAGACAGAGTCTCGCTCTGTCACCTAAGCTGGAGAGTGCAGTGGTATGATCTCGGCTCACTACAACCTCTGCCTCCCGGGTTCAGGCGATTCTCCTGCCTCAGCATCCTGAGTAGCTGGGATTACAGGCACCCGCCACCACGCTGGGCTAATTTTTGTATTTTTAGTAGAGACGGGGTTTCGCCAGGTTGTCCAGGCTGGTCTGGAACTCCTGACCTCATGCGATCTGCCTGCCTTGGCCTCCTGAAGTGCTGGGATTATAGGCGTGAGCCACCATGCCCGGCGTTGACTTCTTAATAATAACCATACTGACTGGTGTGAGATGGTATGCCATTGTGGTTTTGATTTGCATTTCTCTAATGATCAGTGATATTGAGCTTTTTCTCATATGCTTGTTGGCCGCATGTGTGTCTTCTTTTGAAGTGTCTGTTTATGTCCTGTGCCCACTTTCTAATGAGATTTTTTTTTTTCTTGTAAATTTGTTTAAGTTCCTTATCAGTGTTGGACATTAGATCTTTGTCACATGCATTGTTGCAAAAATTTTCTCCCATTCTGTAGGTTGTCTGTTCACTCTGTTGATAGTTTCTTTTGCTGTGCAGAAGCTTCAAGAAGAAAGGAATCCGATTGGTTCTGTGTCTGTCTCTTTTGGTATTCTCAGAATTATGTAGTCATTCATATAGAAAGATGATTAGGAAAATAGGACAAGAATAGCAGAAATCTACATAAAAATGTAGGAAATTAAAATTAGTTACCAGCATACAAAAAACTTCTGTATGTTATAATTACATACTATAACTCACCCCTCCTTGGCAAATATTCTCTCTCTTTTGACTTCAAAATCATGGCTTATATGTACTTTCTCTATTTCCCAGATGCAAATATAATTAATTGACTTTATTTATCTAGGAAATGTTACTCATATCTTAATTGTAGTCATTGGCTTGAGTGACAGGTTTTGGTAATTCAACTACTGTTACTTGAAAGTAGTAGATTTCATAGGATACTGTTATAAAATCTTTTTAACCTCTTTTCTGATTTCAGGAGTAATTAGTAATTGTGGTTTACTGGAAAATTCAATGAATAGGGTGTTAAAGGAAGCAATTCATTAATAATATATGTAATCTATTGGGAGACTGAGGCGGGTGGATCACCTGAGTTCAGGAGTTCGAGACCAGCCTGGCCAACATGGCAAAACTCCGTCTCTACTGAAAATAGAAAAATTCGCCGGGCATGGTGGTGCATTCCTGTATTCCCAGGTACTCGGAAGGCTGAGGCAGGAGAATCACCTGAACTCCAGAGGTGGAGGTTGCAGCGAGTCAGGATCGCAGCACTACACTCCAGCCTGGGTGACAGTGAGACTCCATCTCAAAAAAAAAAAAAAAAAAAAAAAAAAAAAATTAAAAAATTAAATTAAAAGCGGGCTGGGCGCATTGGTTCAGGGCCGGGCACGGTGGCTCAACCTGTAATCCCAGCACTTTGGGAGGCCGAGGCAGGCGGATCACGAGGTCAGGAGATCAAGACCATCCTGGCTAATGTGGTGAAACCCCGTCTCTACTAACAATACAAAAATTAGCTGGATGTGGTGGCAGGTGCCTGTAATCCCAGCTATTCCAGGGGCTGAGGCAGGAGAATCACTTGAACCTGGGTGGCAGAGGTTTCAGTGAGTCCAGATCATGCCACTGCACTCCAGCCTGGGTGACAGAGCGAGATTCTATCTCAAAGAAAAAAAAAAAAGCAACAGAAGCAAATGAGAGTGCCTGGGAGTGGTCATTGTGGGGCCTTCCCGTTTGTGTGACCCAGGTCATGTCCCTCCCTAAGCCCTGGTCTCTCTTGCCTCCTGCAGGGCTGGTGAATTACCAGATCTCCGTCAAGTGCAGTAACCAGTTCAAGTTGGAAGTGTGTCTTTTGAATGCAGAAAACAAAGTCGTGGACAACCAGGCTGGGACCCAGGGCCAGCTGAAGGTGCTGGGTGCCAACCTCTGGTGGCCGTACCTGATGCACGAACACCCCGCCTACCTGTACTCGTGGGAGGTAATGGTGGTTTGGGACTTGCGTAAGGGAGGTCTTTTGCCCCCATCTGGTAGCCCTGGCTTCAGCAGGAGCCCAGGACAGGTGAACGGGCAGGTGTGGTCCTCTGAGCTTTCTGATGTTTCCCACCCTTGGTGGGAGGCCCAGATTTTTTATTTATTTATTTATTTATTTATTTGTTTGTTTGTTTGTTTTTGTGATGGTCTCACTCTGTCACCCAGGCTGGAATGCAATGGCCTGATCACAGCTCACTGCAGCTTTGAGCTGCAATCCTCCTACCTTGGCCTCCTGAGTAGCTGGGACTACAGGCACATGCCACCATGCCTGGCTAATTAAAAAAATTTTTTTTGTAGGCCGGGCATGGTGGCTCACACCTGTAATCCCAGCACTTCGGGAGGCTGACGCGGGCAGATCACTTTAGGCCAGGAGTTGGAGACCAGCCTGGCCAACATGGTGAAACCCCGTCTCTACTAAAATATGAAAATTTGCAGGGCATGATGGTGCACGTCTGTAATCCCAGCTACTCGGGAGGCTGAGGCAGGGGAATTGCTTGAACCCAGGAGGCAGGGGCCGCGGTGAATTGAGATCATGCCGCAGCACTCTATCCTGGGTGACAGAGTGAGACTGTCTCAAAAAAAAAAACTCCTTTTTATAGAGTTGGGGTCTTACTAGGTTGCCCAGGCTGGTCTTGAACTCCTGGACTCAGGTGATCCTCCTGCCTTAGCCTCCCAAGGTGTAGGGATTCCAGGCATGAGCCACCTCGTCTGGTCAAGGAGAAGGCCTGATTTTGAAGGGCAGGTCCCAGGGTCAGCCAGTGAAGGGCAGAGCCTCTGATTGCTGCTTCTCTGCAGGCCCAGTGGCGACTTCTGGGGTGCATGCACGAGGGGTCTTCCTGCTGTAGGGCAGGCCAGATGGGGCTCAGGCTGTCGGGGCGCTCACACCTGGCGCTTTGGCTGTCGTAGGTGCGGCTGACTGCACAGAAGTCACTGGGGCCTTTGACTTCTACACACTCCCTGTGGGGCTCCGCACTGTGCCCGTCACCGAGAGCCAGTGGGTGAGAGCCAGTTTCATTTGCGGTAGAGGCAGCAGAGGTTGTAGAAATGCTCCTTGAGGCAGATGCCACACCCCAATTTCATGGAGTGATTTGGGCTGAGCCGAGTCTGCAGCAGGCAGAAGGCTCTGAGATGTTGTCCTAGCCTGGGCAAAGGACAATTCAGAGCTCGGGGGAATAGGGGTGTGCTCAGCACGACTGGGTGGACAGGCCGTTTGTTGTGAATCGTACAGGCTTCCAGGAGCGGGTGCCTGAGGCTTCCAGACAGGCTTTGGGAGGTGGCCAGAGGAGATGCCTGTTTCCGGGGCAGGAAATGGAGGGAGGGCCCAGGCTGGAGAGGTTCAGCCAGGCTGTCACAAGGCTTTGAAGCTTCCCATCTGAGAGCCTGGCTATTGGAGAGTGTGGGTTTGGAACTTGAGGCTAGGAGGTTCTATTCTGTCCTGTGCCAGCCACAGCCTTCGGATGGGCAGAGCAATGATGGGGGGAAGATGTAAAAGAAAAGAACTGAGGAAAGAAGAAGAAAACCAGCTTCAACAACGGTCTAGGCCGGATGCGGTGGGTCACGCCTGTAATCCCAGCAGTTTGGGAGGCTGAGGTGGGTGGATCACCCGAGGTCAGGAGTTCGAGACCAGCCTGGTCAACAGGTAGTGAATCCTGTCTCTACTAAAAATACAAAAATTAGCTGGGCATGGTGGTGGACGTCTGTAATCCCAGCTACCAGGTAGGCTGAGGCAGGAGAATCGCCTCAGGTGAACCAGGAGGCAGAGATTGCAATGAGCTGAGATAATGCCACTGCATTCCAGCCTGGGCTACAGAATGAGACTCTGTATCTCAACAAAACAAAACAAAACAAAAACACAACAGTCTGTTCTGTGGAGGCCTTGGGCAGATGCTGGGAGCTCTGAGCACGGACTGGTCCCTCTGTTGGGAGCCTCTTCCCTTCATCCCTCCTGGTTAACTTGACTCAGCATAAAGGCCATTTCTTCTAAGAGCCTGTCCCTGACTCTCCAATCGGGGATGTGTCTGTTGTCTCATAGAGTGCCCAATTCCTGCCACCACTTGTCATTTCCATTCGCAACATTTCTTTCATTGTTTGTTTTTCAGAGTCAGGGTCTCACTCTGTTGCCCAGGCTGGAGTGCAGTGGTGCAATCATAGCTCGTTGCCATCTCGACCTCCTGGGCTTAAGCGAGCCTCCCCACTCAGCCTCCCAAATAGCTGGGACCACAGACGTGCGCTGCCTTGCCAGGCTAAATTTTAATATTTTTTTTTTCCCCACGAGTCAGAGTCTTGCTCTGTCTCCCAGGCTGGAGAGCAGTGTTGCGATCTTGGCTCACTGCATCCTCTACCTCCTGGGTACAAACAGTTCTCCTGCCTCACCCTCCCGAGTAGCTGGGATTACAGGCTCACGCCACCATGCCCAGCTAGTTTTCTTCTTTATTTTTTGTTGAGATGGGGTTTCACCATGTTGGCCAGGCTGGTCTCGAACTCTTGAGCTCGTGATCCACCTGCCTTGGCCTCCCAAAGTGCTCACAGGCTTGAGCCACCATGCCCGGCCCTAATTTTTAAATTTGTTGTAGAAACAAGGTCTTGCTATGTTGTCCAGGCTGGTCTCAAGCGCCTGGTCTCAAGTAAGCCTCCCAAAGTGCTGGGGTTCTAGGCGTGAGCCACCTCGCCTGGCACTTGCACCGTTTTTCTGTGCATGCATCTCCACTCCCACTGCCCAGGACCTGTGGACTTAGATTTGAGTCATTACTGAGCACCTAGCACCCAGCCTCATGCCTACCTCCCACCTCGCACTACCTGTTTGCTTGATGCATTAATAAATATTCCACCTGAATCCACAGCCCATTCACTCCTGTGTTCAAGAGCTATTTCAGGAAGTGAACCTCATTTCTGGCAGTGTTCAGTCCAGTGACCTCAGCTCTGTGTACCCGGCAGGGTGGCTACGCCTCTGGGGGAGTTGGATTCAGGGGTGGGGGAGAAAGAGTGTTGTTAGAGAGCTCGGTCTAGGACTAGAGGAACGTGCCCTTATGTAAAATACATCTCAAGTTAGGGAAGAAAGCAGCGGCTCTGTGCTTTGTTTTTTGTTTTTTTTTTCCTTTTTTTTCTTTCTTTTTTTTTTGTTTGTTTGTTTGTTTGTTTGTTTGTTTTGGGGCAGGGTCTTGCTCTGTGGCCCAGGCTGGAGTGCAGTAGCGTGATTTCGGCTCACTGCAACCTCCACCTCCCGGGTTCAAGCAATTCTTGTGCCTCAGCCTCCCGAGTAGCTGGAGTTACAGATGCGTGCCACTATGCCTGGCTAATTTTTGTATATTTAGTAGAAATGGGGTTTTGCCATGTTGGCCAGGCGGTTCTTGAACCCCTGACCTCAGTGATCTGCCTGCCTCAGCCTCCTGAAGTGCTGGGATTACAGGCGTGAGCCATCGTGCCTGGCCCCCAGTTGTGTTCTGGCAGGGGAAGATGGGACAGAGAGGATGGGAGGGTGTCTGAGCCTTTCCCGGACTGACGGAACCTGTGTCTTCTCTCTTTTGTGGACAGGATGGTGATTGCTCACACCAAAGCCTTGGACCCCTCCCAGCCTGTGACCTTTGTGACCAACTCCACCTACGCAGCAGACAAGGGGGTGAGCCTGGGGGTCCCCACCCCATTTCTCCCTGCCTTTGCCTGGGCTTGTCCTGAAGCCTGCTCATGGGAACAGCTGGAAAGAACCATGTGCTGCCAGTCTGAGCTTTTTATTTTGTTTTACTTAGAAAGATAGAGACAGGGTCTTGCCATGTTGCCCAGGCTGGTCTCGAACTCCTGGGCTCAAGTGATCCTCCTGCCTCGGCCTTCCAAAGGGCTGGGGTTACAGGCGTGTGCCACCGCACTCAGCCGCAGCCAGTCTGTTTTCAAAGATGGTCTTTGGGTTAATGACAATTCTCTCTCTGCTTACTCTCCAGGCAGTGTGGCTTTCTGAATCCAAGGAGGCTGGGCATAGGGAGATGGGATTTGTTTGCCCGGTTTGGACTCAGCATTTTTTGTACTCGATTTAATAGACTCATAAAATGTCAAAGGTTTAAGTGAGCTTAGAGTTCATCTGGCCCAAACCTGGCTGATCAGAATCTCCAGGGGAAGTTTTATTGAAATGCCAGATCTCTGCGTTCTGAGATCCTGATTTAGTAACTCCAGGGTTGGAACCTGAGTTTTTTGTTTTTTTGTGTGTGTGTGTGAAGGCAAGGTCTTACTCTGTTGCTCTGGCTGGAGTGCAGTGGTGTGATCACAGCTCACTGCAGCCTTGAATTCCTGGGCCTAAGCAAGCCTCTTGCCTCAGCCTTCCAAGTAGCTGGGACTCCGGGGGTACACCACTGTGCCCGGCTAATTTTAAATGTTTTTGTAGAGATGGGATCTCACTATGTTGCCCAGGCCAGTCTCAAACTCTTGAGCTCAAGTGATCCTCCTGCCTTAGCCTCCTAAAGTGCTGGGATTACAGGCATGAGCCACCGTGCCTGGCTGATACTAGCATTCTTTTTTATTTTTTATTATTTTTTTAAGATAGAGTCTTGCTCTGTTGCCCAGGCTGGAGTGCAGTGGCACAGTCTCAGCTCAGTGCAACCTCCGCCTCCCAGGTTCAAGCAATTCTCCTGCCTCAGCCTCCCAAGTAGCTGGGATAACAGGCACATGCCACCACGCCTGCGCTTGATCGTGGGAGGCAGAGGTTGCATTATTGTGCCACTCCATTCTAGCCTGGGCAACAGAGCGAGACTCTGTCTTCCAAACAAAGCGGAAAAAGATTATCTGCGAGAATGACTGCATTGGCCCCTTGGGTGGGAGGGCTTCTCCAGGGCAAGGTGAGGGGATGCCCAGTGCTGGGAGTGCTGCCTGGAGAGGAGTCAGTTCCAGTGGCGGGGGCCCTGGGTTTTGGCTGAGGACTGCGTGTTGGCAGCTGCTCTGCCTCTCACAGCCCTTCCCAGCTGCACACGTCGTGAGCGTCAGTGTGCAATCACAGGCCTGCCTCCTTTGGGCCACTTTGTGACCATGTTTTTTGCTTGTGGGGCAGGGTAATTTCAGGATCTAAATTGGTGCAGTTGGATGTTCTCAGCCCCGAGAGGCAGCTCTTCCCGTTGTAGGCTTTTTGTTTTGTTTTGTAGAAATGGAGTCCTACGATGTTGCCCAGGCTGGTCTCAAACTCCTGGGCTCAAGTGATCCTCCCACCTTGGCCTCCCAATGTGCTGGGATTACAGGCATGAGCCACTGTGCCGTGCTGATTTTCTTGATACTATTTTTTGTAGAGCTGGGGTCTTGCTGTGTTGCCCAGGCTGGTCTCGAACTCCTGGCCACAAGCCACCCTCCTGCCTCAGCCTCCCAGAGTGCTGGGATTACATCCCCTTCTTACCTTCTCTGTCAGAGGAGCCCCCACAGCATGTGAGTACTGAGTCATGCGGTCTTGTGGTTGCTGAACGGGCTCTGCTGCTCTGGTCCTAGGCTCTGTATGTGGATGTGATCCGTGTGAACAGCTACTACTCTTGGTATCGCAACTACGGGCACCTGGAGTTGATTCAGCTGCAGCTGGCCGCCCAGTTTGAGAATTGGTGTAAGACATCACAATCCCATTATTCAGAGCGCGTATGGAGTGGAAACGCTTGTAGGGTTTCACCAGGTAAGCGGTGTTGAACTTCCTGCTTGTGTATTCTCTCTGGGCAGAGATGCCACTTGCCTCCCCCACCCTGCCCTGCGCCCACTGCAGTGCTCCCCTTGCTTCAGCTTTGGGCTCACCTCCCGCTACCCTGTCCACGTTCCCTTCTCACCAGCAGCCAGGCCTCTGCCCCACTCGCTTGGTCCTCAAAGGTGGACTCCTTACTGGCATTGTTTCCAGACAGCCTCCTATCACCCGTGCCCAAGTGGTCTTTCTAAGAAATCCAAATTTTTATGTGTTTTTGAGACCGCCTCTCTCTCTGTCACCCAAGCTGGAGTGCGGTGGTGCGATCACTGCTCCCTGCAGCCTTAACCTCCTGGGCCCAAGCGATCTTCCCACCTCAGCCTCCTGAGTATCTGGGACCATAGGCACAGGCCACCATGCCTGGCTAATTTTTTTACTTTTGTAGAGATGGGGCCTTGTTGTGTTCCCTGGGCTGGTCTTGAATTCCTGGGATCAAGTGACCCTCCTGCCTCAGGCTCACAAAGCGCTGGGATTTACAGGTGTGAGCCACTGTGCCCGGCCACAAATCAAAATTTTTGAGTCCTGTCATTGGCTCCCCCAGGCCCATAGGACAAAGTCCTAACCCCTAGTCAGGACACTCAGTGTCCTCTGCTCTCTCCTGGGTTTTCATCCTCTTCTCTTCTCACTCCTGGCCACTGATCTGTTTCCACTGCCCTCATTTGCTCTCCTGCTCTTGCTTGAGCTATTCTTTCTGCCTGGAATGCCCAAGTTGGCACCATAATCACCAACTAAAAGATCCTTTTCTTTTTATTTTTTTAGAGATAGGGTCTTGCTATGTTGCCCAGGCTGGTCTCAAACTCCTGGACTCAATTGATCTTTTTGCCTTGGCCTCCCAAAGTTCTGGGATTAACAGGTGTGATCCACTGTGCTAGCCTTTTTTTATTTTTTATTTTTTTCCTGACAGGGTCTTGTTCTGTTGCCCAGGCTGGAGTGTGGTGGTGTCATCATAGCTCACTGCAGCCTCGAACTCCTGGGCTGAAGCAATTCTCCTGCCTCAGCCTCCTGAGTAGCTGGGACTACAGGCGTGCACCACCATGTGCAGCCTAGTTTTAAAATATTTGTAGAGATGAGTCTCGCTATCAGGCTGGTCTTCACCTCCTGTCTTGGACTCCCAAAGTGCTGGGAATACAGGCATGAGTCACGACACGTGGCTGAAAAGATTCCTGTTTGGCATCTGAGTCTCCTCATAGCTGTCCCCTCTGTGGGGAGGTTTACCCTGCCTGCCCCAGGCGGAGGGAACCTTCCCCGTGCTCTGCCCTGTTGCAGCCGGAACCTGGCTCTCCCAACATTCTCGCCAGGCACCGTTGTTATTTCTTTGGCTCTCTCTTTGATCGGACTGTGGGCTCAGGAGACAGGAGTCCTATTTATTGTTGTTTCCCAGGTACTCTGCAATAGCTGACACAGTACATGCTAAATAATACCTATTGAGGGCATGGGTGAGATCTTAGAGCCATGTTTAATCACTCACTTTGTCTTTTTTTTTTTTTGAGATGGAGTCTCACTCTGTCACCCAGGCTGAAGTGCAATGGTGTGATCTCAGCTCACTGCAACCTCCACTTCCTAGGCTCAAGCGATTGTCCTGCCTCAACCTCCCAAGCAGCTGGGATTACAGGCACCTGCCACCATGCCCAGCTAATTTTTGTATTTTTGTAGAGGTGGGGTTTTGCCATGTTGGCCAGGCTGGTCTTGAGCTCCTGACGTCAAGTGATTTGCCTGCTTCCGCGTCCCAAAATCCTGGGATTACAGGCCTGAGCCACCATGCCTGGCCTGTCCTCATTTGTTTATCCATCTCATTTTTTGTCCTTCTCACCAAAGATATGTTGCTTTGTCTTGTGGGGTTTTTTTCATGTGGATTCCTGAACCCCATCCAGCCCCTTGTCCCCTCCCCAGCCAGCTCACACTCTTTTGCACAGCTCCTGGGACTCCCGTTGACACACAGGGAACAGCCACCCACAATGGACTGCACTGTTCTGTTTGCACCCTTAAATTTATCGTGCTTACAGAATGACACTTCTGTAAACTAGTCAAGTAGGGGGAAGTGATTTGTGGATATGCACCCTTGTTCATTCTCTTTGAAAAGGTAACCAGCTCTGAATTCTTTCTCCTTTTAGGAGGAGTTTCACTTGTCGCCCAGGCTGGAGTGTAGTGGTGCAATCTTGACTCACTGCTACCTCCGCCTCCCAGGTTCAAGCAATTCTCCTGCACCAGCCTCCCAAGTAGCTTGGATTACAGGCATGCACCACCATGCTCACCTAATTTTTTTTTTTTTTTTTTTTTTTTTAGTAGAGATGAGGTTTCACCACGTTGGTCAGGCTGGTCTTGAACTTTTGACCTCAAGCGATCCACCTGCCTTGGCCTCCCAAAGTGCTGGAATTACAGGCATGAGCCACCATACCCAGCCCCAGTTCTGAATTCTTAAGAAACTCGAGAGGGTCTAGGTGAGCATTGATAGAACCTCTGCAGTGCTGGGTGTGCTGGCTCACACCTGGAATGCTAGCCCTTTGGGAGACCGAGGTCAGAGGATCTCTTGAGCCCAGGAGTTTGAGACCAGTCTGCACAACATGGACCCCATCTCTACAAAATATTTAAGATGAGTTGTGGCTGGGTGCAGTGGCTGACGCCTGTAATCCCAGCACTTTGGGAGGCTGAGGTGGGTGGATCACGAGGCCAAGAGTTCAAGTCCAGCCTGACCAAGATGGTGAAACCCCGTCTCTACTAAGAAAACACAGAAATTAGCTGGGTGTGGTGGCATGCACCTGTAATCCCAGCTACTCAGGAGGCTAAAGCAGGAGAATCGCTTGAACTGGGGAGGTGGAGGTTGCAGTGAGCCGAGATTGTGCCACTGCACTCCAGCCTGGGCGACAGAGCAAGACTCCGTCTCAAAAAAAAAAAAAAAAAATAGTTGGGTATGGTCGTGCTTGCCTCTAGTCCCAGCTACTTGGGAGGCTGAGGTAGGAGGACTGTTTGAGCCCAGTAGGTCAAGGCTGCAGTCCGCCATAATTGCACCACTGTACTCCCACCTGGGTGACAGAGTGAGACCTTGTTTCAAAAAAGAACCTTTGCAATGATGGAAATGCCCCATGTCTGCACTGTCTGAAATGGTAGCCACTAGCTACATGTGGCTATTGAGGTCTTGATATATGACTAGGATAACTGAATTTATTTGGTTTAATTAAAAAAAATTTTTTTTTGAGACAGCCTTACTCTGTTGCCCAGGCTGGAGTGCAGTGGCGTAATCACAGCTCACTGCTCAACCTCCTGGGCTCAAGTGATCCTTCCTCCTCGGCCCCCCAAGTAGCTGGAGCCACAGTCATGCGCCACTACACCTAGCGAATATTTAGCCTTTTTATAGAGACTGGGTTTTACTGTGTTGCCTAGGCTGATCTTGAACTCCTGAGCTCAAGTGATCCTCCTGCCTCGACCTCCCAAAGTGCTGGGATTACAGACCTGAGCTACCATGCCCAGCCTGGTTTAGTTTAATTTCATTTTACATTCATTCATTCATTCATGAGATAGGGTCTTGTTCTGTCACCCAGGCTGGAGTGTAGTGGTGCAAACCACAGCTTTGACCTCCGGGACTGAAGCAGTCCTCCCACCTCAGCCTCCCAAGTAGCTGGGACCACAGGTGTGTGCCTCCATGCTTGGCTAACTTTTGTACTTTTTGTAGGCTAGTCTTGAACTCCTAGGCTCAAGCAGTCCTCCCACCTCGGTCTCCCAAAGTGCTTGGATGACAGACATGAGCCAGCGCGCCTGACCTAAAGACATATTTTTCCTTCTAGTGTAGTTCAGCCTTAAGACTGTATCAGCAGACAGAGACGGAAAAGTAAGAAAAATTGAGTATCAGTTTATATTTATAAATAAAGCAGTTGCTAATTGATGGTTTTTTTTTAAACCTCCTTTTTAATTCTGGGTTACATCATTCCCTGGCTGTCGTTTCTTTTTTTGTATTTTTTTATTATTATTATTATACTTTAAGTTTTAGCGTACATGTGCACATTGTGCAGGTTAGTTACATACGTATACATGTGCCATGCTGGTGTGCTGCACCCACTAACTCGTCATCTAGCATTAGGTATATCTCCCAATGCTATCCCTCCCCCCTCCCCCCACCCCACAACAGTCCCCAGAGTGTGATGTTCCCCTTCCTGTGTCTATGTGATCTCATCGTTCAATTCCCACCTATGAGTGAGAATATGCGGTGTTTGTTTTTTTGTTCTTGCGATAGTTTACTGAGAATGATGATTTCCAATTTCTCCCTGGCTGTCTTTACCCTAGCATCAGTGAGTCCTGCAGTCCCTACAGCCCCCAGTGAGGACAGATATTTTGGTCACCATCAAGTGGATCTTTATTTTTATCTAACATTTACAATTCTGCCAGTTCTTACTCTTAATTCTCTTTGCCTTGAATCCCAGGATCCACCTCTGATGTTCAGTGAAGAGGACCGGAAAAGTCTGCTAGAGCAGTACCATCTGGGTCTGGATCAAAAACGCAGAAAATACGTGGTTGGAGAGCTCATCTGGAATTTTGCCGATTTCATGACTAACCAGTGTAAGTGGCAGTTTAGCGCATGGGATAATGTACCCGTCCTCATTTTTTCAGGTTGCCTTGCCCATTCTGGACATTTTGGCTGTAAGAATATTGGAAACAAAGGGGGGAACCTGGTTTAATCCATGTAGGTTGTGTTGAGAATTTCCTAGGAAAAGTAAGTTGTGCTTAGGAAGTAGGAAAGCAGTCAGGCCCCCGCTTCCCACGTACGGTCAAAAAGCAAACATGAGAGTCTGCTATAGTGAGATGGAAATGGCTAGCTTGCCTTTTTCTTGTCTATTTCATAGCCAAGGATGAAGGAAAAACTGGACCTCATTATGGATTTACTTTTGGGATACACTCATTATTCCAGAGGAGGGTAAAAGGCTGAGAAGCTTAAGGTATTTCAGTCTGTTTTATGTTACTCATTTGCGAAAAGCAGGCTCATCGAATACAGGTGAGTTTCAACGCGTCTTGAATATGGCAGCATTTAAAAGTCTTCAGACCAGGCATGGTGGCTCATGCCTGTCATCCCAGCACTTTGGGAGGCCAAGGTGGGAGGATTGCTTGAGGCCAGGAGTTCGAGACCAGCCTGTTCAGCATAGCAGGACCCCCATCTCTACAAAAACTAAACAGATTAGCTAGGTGTGGTGGTGTGTGCCTGTAGTCCTAGCTGCTTGGGAGGCTGAGGCAGGCGGATAGCCTGAGCACAGGAGTTGGAGGCTGCAGTAAGCCATGATTACACCACTGCACTTGAGCCTGGGCAGCAGAGTGAGACCTGTCTTTAAAAAAAAAAAGGAGCTGGGCACGGTGGCTCATGCCTGTAATCCCAGCACTTTGGGAGGCCGAGGCAGGCAGATCACGAGGTCAGGAGATCGAGACCATCCTGGCTAACAGTGAAACCCTGTCTCTACTGAAAATACAAAAAAAATCAGCCGGGCGTGGTGGCGGGTGCCTGTAGTCCCAGCTGCTCGGGAGGCTGAGGCAGGAGAATGGCATGAACCCAGGAGTTGGAGCTTGCAGTGAGCCGAGATTGTGCCACTGCACTCCAGCCTGGGCGACAGTGAGACTGCTTCTCAAAAAAAAAAAAAAAAAAAAAAAAAAGAAAGGGTCTTCAAAGACAATAAGATCTGTGCTCTCACGTAGGGTGGATGAGGGGCTGCCAAGTTAGCAATGAATGTTTCCCATTTCTTCTTAGTTTATGGACTTTCCATAAACTCAGGATGGCAGTTTGGTTGGTTGGAGAAGGATATGGTGATGGCGGGAGTTACAATACATTACTTATAGGGGAAGATAGGCTTTTGAAAGGTTAAAGCTTAAAAGTGAGAATGGAAAAGGGATGAATGAATGAACATGATGAGGTGAGAGGGAAGAGGTAAAGGGAAAAGGAGAACAAGCAACTCTTCTCTGCGTGGCACCTGGGATGAATGGTTTCTGGGGACATCCCTGATGGCAGTTTTGTGGAGAGGTGCAAAGCTTTATGTGTTAAGAAATGAGCTGTAGGCTCAGTGCAGTGGCTCACGCCTGTAATCCCAGCACTTTGGGAGGCCGAGGTGGGTGAAAAGAAAAAATGGGCTGGGCGCCGTGGCTCACGCCTGTAATCCCAGCACTTTGGGAGGCCGAGGTGGGCGGATCATGAGGTAAGGAGTTCGAGAGCAGCCTGGCCAACATGGTGAAACCGTGTCTCTCCAAAAAAATAGAAAAAACATCCCTGTATGGTGGTGAGCACCTGTAGTCCCAGTTACTCAGGAGGCTGAGGCATGAGAATCGCTTAAACCTCGGAGGCGGAGGCTGCAATGAGCTGAGATGGTGCCACTGCACTCCAGCCTGGGTGACAGAGCTGGGTGGTGGCTCAAGATATGTTTTGTAAACCTGAAGATTTGAGATCATATAAGCCAAATCGAAACTTAATTGGCATTCATAACTTTTGGTTCTAGAGACTCCATGATCAACTAAGAGCCACCAAACATTTCCCATGTAGACTATTTTGACCATGCTGACTCTACTGACACTGTGGTTACTGAATTCACTTTATCTCTAGAAATTAATTCTTACTAATGGATGTCTGTCACTGTAAGATCCTTCTCTCCTCTGAAATAAGGAGAACATTTTAACTTCAGTAGTTTAAACTAGTGTCCTAAACTATAGCATTCAAAATGAGATAATATGCTAAAGTAATACACAAACCAAAAATCCCAGTGGCTAACACAAAAAGTTTTTCTTATTCATTTTACATATCCAGGGTAAGTCAGTAATAGACGCAGACACACCCAGAGACCAAGGATGAGTTGTGATCTGTCTGCACACATAGTTCACAATGCCTGAGTGAGTTGTGCTTTGGCCTTTAAACTTCCACTCATGTTTAATTAATAAAGATTTTGCTCAAATGCCATTTGATGATGAGTTTCATGACGATGATCAACTTTAAAAGAACTTGGAAGTACAATCCTCAAGCGTTTCTGGAAATAGCAGAACTACAATATTTGAGAAAAATATTTTTTAATGTATAAAAAATTGGCAGGGTAGGCTAGCAAGCAAGAGACCTAGAGAAAAGTTGATGTTACAGTCTCAAGTCGAAAGGCAATCTGCAGGCAGAATTATTTCCTTGAGGGATCTCAGTCTTTTAATATAATCAATTGACTGGATGAGCCCTACAATATTTTGGAAAATAATCTGCTTTTCTCAGAAATTACTGATTTTCATGTTAATCTCATCTAACAATACTTTCAGAGCAACATCTATACTGGTATTTGAATATATAACTCTTTTATCTTTTAAAATATCAAATAATACAGTTATATATACATACACACATATGTATATATGTCACCTAAATTGTAGATATCAGAAATCAGAATGCTGTGATATGAATATTTAGTATATTTTAATCATGATAAATTATACATCCTTCTACCTTATGATAATGGATTTTAAGATCTATGCTGTTAAACTCTATATTTATCCTTTAATTCATATCTTGCTTATTTTACATTTATCTGAGAATACATTGGGTCTACTAAATCTTTACTATCATTCACAAGTCTTACATCTTAAGATAACTTTTCAATAAAATAAAAATTCTTCATTGCACCTAGAAAGGAGCAGGGTTTTGAAAGCGATCAATGATTACTCTGATACCTAATATAATAATATAATATAGTAAAAATCAAAATACTTGAATGAAAAATGTAAAATTAATAGTTTTGCTTTCATTGTTTTTATTCCAGTGTCTATTTTAGAATGTTTTTACTCTAATTGTGTTTTTATGCAAAACCAAATGAGCTTTAGATAATTCCATTGATACATTACATATGAAAGTTCTCGTTAAATAGGATATAGCATATTTTACTTAAAAATCCAAATTATAAAATAAAGAGGGATTTTAAGTTGAGTCTAAAATTTTTGTTTCAATTTTGTTTTTATTTAAAGACTTGCTATAATTCTGTGAGAGAGCTATAAAAGTCTGCTCAGAAACATTATAATGTAAAATGGACAGAGAAGGACAATGAGATATTTAATTTGCCACGGCAAAGCCATTGCTGTGAAGAATGGATAATATATGTCAATGGTAATATATGAAGAAATAACACAGGTGAATAGCAGAGGCAATAAATCTGTTTTTACCACAGGACTTGTCTTACACTTTTCTCTTAGTAATAAATAAAATAATTTTCGACCAGATGGAGCTGGCTTGAAATCCTCTTGTTTATGGCAGTACATATCGGTTATGATTCAAAAAATATAGCCCATTTCCAAAAACCTGCAACAAAGAGATACTTTCTCAGGTGAGTGTTCAGATCATTATTCATTACAAAGTGTCAGTTTTGTCTTTATTGATCCTCATTATTGTAAGAAAGTATGTGGTCCTGTCTCCATTCTATTAAAACAACATTGTAGAGATTAGCACTGAGTCTTTCCAGCCATGTGCATCTGTTCATTTCCGTCTCCAGCTTGAGTTTTTCTGTGTATTACAAAATAAGAAAACAAAAATGACACAATAATCTATTTTGTCTGGTTTTGCTCTTTATTAGTAGAAATAGACAAGTGAGGAGTTGGAGGAAGAAATTGCTTCTGATCTGTTTTAGATACAGGTGAAACTCTCCCTCCCTCCCCGCCCTACCCAGTCTTTCTCTGTCTCCCTCCCTGAGCCTATTCTTGCTTCTTCCCTTTACAAATAATTAACTGCTCAGGTCATGTTGAACCAAAAAATAGCGTCTGTAGCCCCTGTGTGCTTACTTTAAGTATATGTTACTGAAAAATGCGGAGTGAGCACTTAACAACTCATTCTCCTGGGAAGCACAGTGCTACTATACCCCAAATGCTTTTCTTTATCATTTTAATTTTTATCTTCTTTACTTACATTTCCAACATCAGTTAAGAGGGTCTTGTAGTTTTCTAACTGAAAGGAGACTGTAAAATCTCCTTGCTCAAAACTCAGATGCAGAATATTATTTTTACTACAATAAATACATCTACAACAATGGTATTATATCTGGTTTATTTCAAAGTCAAGTTCTAATACAGGTAAACAAATATACTAATAAAGAGATAATGCTTTTCTCATGAAATGTATAATCTAGTAGGAATAAAGATAAACAATTTTTTTAAAAATTCTATTTCATTAAGCAAAAATGCAACTCAGAAGAATAATGTATATTAGCAGTCATTTACTATTTTTCAATTAAATTCCGATATATATGTAAAGTAAATTATTACTAATATCAAACATAGTTTAAAGAATTAGTGACTATGTGCACTTGGATCTCCATATGTAATGTACTATCAGCATCTTCACAAACACAGTAAATTTTAATATGCAAGTAAAACTTATTTTACTAAACGATGATTACTCCTTCTATATTCATATTCCTAAACACATACAGTTTCTTAATGTAATTAAGTTTTTAACTAAAAAAAGGGAAATGCATTATTGAGGCGATAGGATTACTGGGTGGCTATAAACACATCTGCTGCACAGCTGACATTTATCTTCTACAATGAGCAGTGACAATTTTATTTTTTAATAATCAGTATGGACTAATCCTGATGATTTTTTTTAACATTTTCAAATAGGGCTGCATATGGCTTAAAATTAATATATACATGTGTACCTATATAATATTCTTATTTATTAATGGACTTCCTACATAGCTCATATTGACGTTAGATTTAAATGAAATTCCAGAAGGGTTTTCTATAGGTAAGTCATACATTGGATTTCCATATTACCTATGATTATTGAAGTATTTATTTCTGTTTTTAAGACTTCAGAGCAATTTTGCTGGTCATTTGTTTTCTGTGTTTTTATTTTGAAATTGTTCTTTGAGGCATTGTCCTATTACATTTTTAAGGTATGTTAATAAAATAATATTTTTAATGAAATTTTGCCTACTGCTTTCCAGGTGAACTCTTGTTTAAAGTATTAATTCACCAAAAATTACTTATATTCAGAAAATGAACTAAAAAAAATAATATGACGTGTTCAAGAAAGTCGAACAAAAGTTACGTGATGTTTGCAACATACACAACTCCATACCCTTCTCAAATAGTAAAGAGAATAGTAAATAGAATAGGTAGTAAGCAGAGTAGGAATTGTGGAATATGGAACTCTCAGTCACTCAACTGACTTTATTTTTTAGTAATACGGGATTTGAATTATTCAAGCTGAAGCCATTAAATATTCATAGTGCTTCGTATTATAAAGTTATTGATTAATGTCTTTGGTAAAGAACACTATTATTTCTGATTACATCAAGGTCATCCCGAGGAACAGGACCAAAGCATAAAGTTTTATATATGAAATATGAGAAGTTAATACATAATTCATATTTAACAGATAACATAAATGTTAACCCCTTGGAGAATCTGAAGCTAATACCCATGTTCTTCTGGCAATTCTTTATACTGGCAATTTGGAAAATGCCAGTGTTTTATCGCTACCTATTCTTGTATTATGACATGAATTAATACATATCTGCCTCACTATTCCTGTGGGCAAAAAAAGACTGTGAATTATGTGCCAGAGAGAGATTTTACAAAATTAAATGAGGCAAAGTACTTTTCCTCTGTATACTCATTAGAAATATGCTGAGTAGTTCCTTTCCGTTCCTTTCACTTTCCGATAAAATATAATCAGTTCAGCCATATAACAGATATCTTTTAAACTTTTAATGTCCTCTGTTAGAATGAATATGATATTTGGGACCAATTCACATTTTGGAATAATGTACATACTAAGCATAAGTGAAGAATTTAAACATTAACTTGATTTAGGACTGGACTCTTAAGAGGTTTTAAAAAGTTGAAAAACGGAATTCCAACAAATTTAAATGGCTTGTTTAGGGTTTCCACAGGCAATACGGGTGGGTGCAATGGAAAGAGAATTCCTTTAATCTAAACGTGGGCTTTATTCTGGCTCTGCCACATATTGACTGTTTCATACAAATGTAACTTAAACTGCAGGTGTCATGATTTTTCACACATATACAAATAAAACAATGTTGATTATATAGGATTTGTTGAGAAAATGCAATTATGCCAAGTACAAGTATTTGGCCTATTATCTCACTTTATAAATATTAGCAATTCTTTTTGTGGAGGGAATAAATCTAACATGCTGGCTTTTAGAATTTCTTCTTATTTTTCTTTCAACTTTATTGCCATGTAACATCTTTAAGTCAATAAATCTGACAATTAGACTGTGGGTAATTTTCTTCCAAATCCATATCTTGTTTTCTCTATCCATAGTAGCATTTTAAAACAACAGAAGGGAACTTTAATTACAGTAGGTTGGGAGCCATTTTCTCCCTTTGGTCATATTTTCATTGAAATTCCTACATTGTTTAATATTAGGACTTAGTTTGAATATCACATCAACAAGGTTGCTCAATAGAAATATTATGGAATCATTTTTCTGTCATGCCACAGAACTTATTAACTGTATGTTCAAAATGCAGCTCAATTCTGATCATTTTTGCTACTTTCACCACTAGCATCCTGGTGCTAACCACCATCATTTATTGCCCAGGTTATTGAAATGGCCAGCAAACAGGTGTTTCTGATTCTGCGTAAGGCACCCTTCAGTACATCCTCAAAAGAGCAATTTGTATAATCACTTTAAAACATGTATCAGGTTATTACCTTTTTCTGTGTAAAACTCTGATCTCTCGTTTCATTCATTGTAAAAGTCAGAGTCTTGCACAATGCTTTATAGATGCTCCACCACATGAAGCCCCCAATTCTTCTATGGACTTCCCTCCTTCCACTATGTAATTTTCTCACTCAGCTTCACGTACAGTATTTTCTTGGTTATTACTAAACATGCAACAGATACGGTTTGTTCTATATCTTCCTCATGCTTTTGGTCAGATGCCATTATCCCAGTGAGGTTTTCCATAGCCACTTTATTCAAATTCCAAACAATCTGTCCCCTTAGACATTCTCCATTCTTAATTTTTTGCCATTGTACTTACTACAGTCTAACACACTATACATGTTACATTTTTGCTTATTGTTTATTGTATAGTCCCTAGAATATTAGTTCCCTGAGGACAGAGATTTCTGTAAGCTTTTCCAAAGATGTATCCCCAAAGCCCGGAATGCTACCTGGCAACAAATACTTGTTATAATGAATTAGAAGTGGGTAGATTCACACATCAGAGACAGCGTAGTGTATATAATGATTTTTTAAAGCATTAGAGTCATAGATATTAGGATTTGTATTATGTCTTCACCATTTACAATTATGCTACCCTCAACAAGTTGTTTAATCTTTCCATTCCTCAGTTTCCTCATGACTCATATATTGGAAATATTGTCTACCTTAGAGCTCTTCCAAGAGTAATATTGAGACAATGTTTCAACAATGTTTAGCACATTGCTGAATATTAATACATTATTTCTATTAATGTAAGAAATTTCATAGACTTGCTAGAAATAACGAGGATGGAATATAGATGAAGATCATAAAACATGATGGAAATAAATGTTGGAAAATGTGGGTGGTATCCTTAGCACACTCTCTAACGTAAGGAGTAAAATCTGTGTCATATGACTTTATCTTTCTTCTGGAAACTAACGGAATTTAGTAACACACTTTTCTTGACCTGAGGATTTGCCCTTACCACAAAATTGTTTTTGAAACTTGAGTGTTTACAATGGCTTTTTACCAGTTCTTTTATGTTCTACCAGTTCCTCTCCAATTTACTATGGACTGAAGTCAGACTAATTTGTTAAGAGCAAACAAAACAAAACAAAACAAAACAGTTATTACCTCATTCTAGCCTCAAAGCATCTGCCTTTTCAATGCAATCAAAATTAAATGCAATGAAAATTAAATGCAATCAAAATTAAATGCACAATTCTAATTTTGATGACTTTAGTCCCTGCTTATCTGTTATATTAGGCTGTTCTTGTATTGCTATGAAGAAATATCTGAGACTGGATATTATAAAAATGTTTAATTGACTCACAGTCCTGCAGGCTGTACAGGAAGCACAGTGGCATCTTCTTCTGGAGAGGCCTCAGGGAGCTTTTACTCATGACAGAAGGCAAAGCAGGAGCAGGCACTTCACATGGTGAAAGCAGGAACAAGAGAGAGAGAGTGTGTTGGGGTAGGTGCACTACCATGGAGACAGCACCAAGTCACGAAGGATTCGACCTCATGATCCAAACACTTCCCACCAAGCTCCACCTTCAGCACTGGGGATCTGGTTTCAACATGAGATTTGGGCGGGACATCCAAACTATATCATCTGTCTCCCTCATCCAAGACCATGTGATCCGTAGCTCACTTTTGTCTAGCAACAGATTAAATACAGCATTTTCTGTGTGATATCTTTGTTGAGGTCTTTGCAGATGGCTGTTTCTTTGTCCTGAAACTTTCTTCATCTGCTCTTTCAAAATGAGTGACTCTTCATCCTCGAAGTCTATGCTTATATATTGCTTTTCAGAGGAATCTTTTCTGAACTGGGCATTCTGCCTTCAACCAACTATTTTCTATTATAGTTTCCTGTTTGTGAGTTAATAGTCCTTTTGAAAATTTGACTACTCATTTACCTTCTTGGGTTATTTGAAATTATCTCCTCTTCACTAGATTCTATAGAAGCATAGCCATGCCTGCCCTCTTTACTGTTTCTCTACTGACTTGTTGCAATGAATATTGTCAGTAAACATGGAAATAAATCAGTTATTCAGATATCCTACCTTGGTGCTTGCTTAGATAACTCCACACTGTGATGCCTAATGACCTACACAGGGCTTTCTAGCAAGGAGTGACTTTCTTTCTGCTACGTGTAATAATGATCCGTCAACTTAAACATATAGTTATATTTCCAGCAGACGGTTTCTTGAAACTAATGTCCAGGGTGTAGTTATTCAAAAAAGCAAACTCTTCTCTTGATTTCTGCCATACATTGGTACTCTTTCTCTCTCCCTTTTTTATTTTATTATTTTTTTTTGAGACAGAGTCTCACTCTTTCACCCAGGCTGTGGTGCCATCCCAGCACACCCTGCAACCCATTGCCTCCCAGATTCAAGCGATTCTCCTGCCTCAGCCTCCCTAGTAGCTGGAATTACAGGCATGTGCCACCATGCCTGACTGATTTTTTGTATTTTTAGTGGAGACGGGATTTCACCATGTTGTTCAGGCTGGTCTCAAACTCCTGACCCCTAGTGATCCATCTGCCTCAGCCTCCTAAAGTGCTGGGATTACAGGCGTGAGCCACCCCGCTCGGCCTACTCTTTTATTTCTGTTTTGTCTTTCCTTTCTCAAGAAAGAAAACAAACCAAAACCAAAACAGTTTGGAAGACTTTATAGTATTCATCCATACAAAAGAACAAGATCATGTCCTTTGCAGGAACATGGGTGGAGCTGGAGACCATTATCCTCAGCTCCACCCATCCTCAGCTCCCACTAACGCAGGAACAGAAAAACAAATGCAGCATGTTCTTATTTATAAATGTGAGCCAAGTGATAAGAACACATGGACTCATAGAGGAGAACACCACACACTCGGACCTACCTGAGAGTAGCGGGTGGGAAAACGGAGAGGTTGAGGAAAAGTAACTAATGGGTACTAAGCTTAATACCCGGGTGACAACATAACCTGTACAACAAATCCCCATGACACGAGTTTACCTGTATAACAAACCTGCACGTGTACTGCTGAACTTAAACTAAAAGTTAACAAAAGGCCAGGTGCAGTGTTTCACACACGTAATCCCAGCACTTTGGGAGGCTGACATGGGTGGATCACCTGAGGTCAGGAGTTCAAGACCAGCCCGACCAACTAAATACAAAAAGTTAGCTAGATGTGGTGGCAGGTAATCCCAGCTCCTCTGGAGGCCAAGGCAGGAGAATCGCTTGAATCCAGAAGGCAGAGGTTGCAGTGAGCCGAGATTGTGCCACTGCACTCCAGCCTGGGCAATAAGAGTGAAACTCTGTCTCAAAAAAAAAAAAAAAAAAAAAAAAAAGTTAACAAAACGTTCTTCTCTAGTTCTAAAGCACCAACACAGAGGTGATCAAAATACTCTAAGAAGCACTGGGAAACATTGAGGGGATGGTTCAAACATCAGAGCTAAGGCCTAATTTCCCAACAGTCATTATTTCTGTGGTATTTTGCATATTAGAGACGTATAGGTTCCTCACCTAATCCTTGTTTTTTCATTTTATTTTTAATACATATGAAAGTCATAATAACAAAAAAAATTCATACATCAGCAGCTCAGCTAGAAATAAAAGTCTCAATCTACTGGAAGCCCCTGTGAACTTGTATCAAATTCCTTTCTCTCTTCATAGAGGAAATAATGACTCCCAAAATGTGGTAATGAACAAATATCTCTAATTGTTTAAAATTTAGTATATGTGCAAGTCTCCACAGACACAATCATGATCATATATTTTTAGAAGTTAAAAACGTGTCTATCATCAGGGCGTGGTGGTTCATGCCTGTAATCCCAGCACTTTGGGAGGCCTAAGTGGGTGGATCACCTGAGGTCAGGCGTTCAAGACCAGCCTGGCCGACATGGTGAAACCCTGTCTCTACTAAAAATACAAAAGTTAGCCAGGCGTGGTGGAGGGTGCCTGTAATCCGAGCTACTCAGGAGGCTGAGGCAGGAGAATTGCTTGAACCCGGGAGGCGGAGGTTGCGGTGAGCCAAGACCACGCCACTGCACTCCAGCCTGGACAACAGAGCAAAAACTCCGACTCAAAAAAAAAGTGTCTATCTACCTTCTGCTTTATTTTGTTTTATATGACATTGATGATGTCCATCTATGTTGGCCCATATAATTCTTATCAATTATTTTAAATGCTGTTTAGCATTGTACTATATAAAAATATCAAAACACAGCTCCCTTTTGTTCATTATATTGCCATTTAGTTTTTTTCTCATTTTTTGCTATTTCAACAAAAAGCTGCTATGAATGTGTATGTGTGTATATATATATTAAATGTGTATATATATGAATGTATATATATATACACATATATATGTCAGAGTTTCTCTAGGATATAAACCCAGGAACAAAATTTAAAAATCATAGGGTGTATTGGATCTTACATCACTGCAGACCCTCTCAGCATTACCTCTTGTTCCAGTCAGAGCCTTGGTTACTATTTTTATGTAGACTTTGGTCAGTTTCATAAAGATGGAAGTGATAGTATGTGGCTTCAGACCAGAGCAAGAATTCACTTTCTGCTGCGGGATTTCTCAGACAATGTTGTGTGGATTGTTGTAGGCATTTTGCTTGTTACTCATAAATGCACTGTCTAGACACATCGAGAAGTTAGCATCCATGAGGCTATGCTTGAAAAATGGAACTCCTAGAGCTGATGGATACATATTTCCCCCGTTGTTTCACTTCAGTGAATGGTCATATAGTATTCCATCACCTAACTTAATAATGTGTTCTAGATTTTACTCTCTCTCCCTATAGCACCCATCCTGTTTCTTATTCTTACTCCACAATACACTCCCAACTTAAACACACAGTCTCTTCTTTAGGTGTTGGGGGTTGGGAGTTATTACAAGATGACATGGTGTATGCATTTATTTCTTTGTCTACGTTGATTGCACTGATTTACAGTCTCACCAGCAGTTCATAAAATCCTTCCTTGCAGCTAAGATATGGGCACAAGACTAAAATTTATATCTTTAGCTGATATCTCATTCCTGAACACTCATCTCATTTGCGACTGCCTTGAATATCAAATAGGCATCTCAACCTTAGTAAGTAAAAGAGAATTCTTTATCTGCATCCTGCCAATCCTGCTTCTTTCCCAGTAATTTTTCACTCAGTAATTTGAGCCATTATTAATCTATTTTCTAAAGCTTCAAAACATGGAGTCATTACCAGCTGTTTTATATACACCATTCCAAGCCATTAGAAAGTCAATTCCATTTCACCTGGAAGTTTATTGCAAATTTGACAATTGTCTCTTACATGAACTACTAAAATAGCTTCTCAGCAGCATCTGTGTGCTGCCATTATCCATCCTTCCTCCAGTCTCTTCCCCACCAGGCAATGGAAGTCATCTCTGGCAATATAATGCATTTCACATTAGTTTCATTTTTCCAGCTGAAAATCTCAAAAGTATTTCATTTACATGCCTAATAAAAGCTAAAGATATAATCTTGCTCAGAACTATAAGCTGGCTTCTCCACCTACCATTATCCTTTGCCTTGATTACTCTGCTCTATATCATCATCTTGCATACCCTAACACATGACTTTTATACTCATTGCTCCATCTGTTATAAACATACTGATAAATAATGTTTCCTCTTTAGCAGTGATTTCCTGATCTAATCAATATTTTGGTATCATATAAACTCATTGGATTATTAGTGATTATCACTAACCTGCTATCATACAATACACATTTAATTTCTTTTCTCCTTGTTTATTGTCTAAACTGCTAGGTAGAAGGGCACTTTATCTATTCTTATCACAAACGTAGGACAACGGCTAGCACAAGGTTAGGAACTTACACGCTATTCGATTAATTGTTGTTTAATAATTGATTAAAAACTCCAGAACTTTGGGTTCCATTCTTATGATGACAATAATATAATGCTAGGGATGCCAAGTGAATAGCAAGTTTAACCAAGTTATCCTGTATGGGGAGCCACAGTTACTTAAAATGTCTGACAATCCACAGTCCTGGTGATGATGTGGAATATCACTCTCTTAATCAATGCAAACAATTTATTTAATAGTCATAGTGCTAAAGATGGCATGCCCTCCAAATGAGCAATTGCACTCTTGGTTATGCATTTATATGAATATGTATATAGGAATAGTCATGATAAAACTACTAATTATTATAAAATTTTTGGAAAAAGCATAACTATTAAAAATGAAATTGGTAACTTAAGACTACTCAATACATCAGTAAAAATGAATGAACTAAGCAAAAACATGGATGAATTTCAAAAACGAAATTTATTTTCATTATTTATTAAGAAAGAAAATTTGCACTGTTTTCAAGTCTAATACCAAACAGAACTAAATGGTATTTCTGGATAAACAAATTAGAAAATAAAATTATGAAAAATGCAAGAAAAAAATTACCACAAAAGTTGGGATAGAAGTTACATTAAGAGATGGCATGGTCTTATACAAAGAAAACCCTAAAGACTCTGAAAGACTCCTAGACTTGGCAAAAGACTGCAATAAAGTTTCAGAATACAAAGTCAATGTCCAATAGTCAGTAGTATTTCTATATAGCAATAATATTCAAGCTGAGAACAAAATCAAGAACTCAATCTCATTTACAATAGACACACACACACACACACACACACACACACACACACACACACACACATAACTGAGAAATACGTTTAACCAAGGAGGTAAAATATTTCTACAATAAGAACTACAAAAGATGGGTGGAAGAAACCTGAAATAAAACAAACTAATGGAAAAATATCCCATGTTCATGGATTAAAAAAAATTAAAAATGACCATGGTGTCCAAAGCAATCTAAAGATTCAGTGCAATTTCTATCAAACTACCAATGTCATTTTTCACAGAATTAGAAAACAACAATCCCAAAGTGTATATGAAATTCTGAATTGAAAAAATGACCCAGATAGCCAAAGCAATTCTAAGCAAAAAGAACAAAGCTGGAGTCAGCACTTCACCCCATTTCAAATTATACTACAAACCTATAGTAACAAGAACAGCATGGTACCAATACAAAAACAGATACATAGTTTAATAAAATTAAATAGAGAACCAAGAAATAAAGCCACATACCTACAACCAACTAATCTTCAACAAAGCGTGCACAAATAAACAATGTGGAAAGGATACCTTTTTCAATAAATTGTACTAGAAAAAATGGATATCCGTATACACAAGAGTAAAACTGGATTCCTATATCTCACCATATATAAAAATTAACTCAAGATTGATTAAATACTCAAATGTAAAAACCTATACAATTCCTAGAAGAAAACCTAGGAAAACTTTACTGAATATCAGCCTTGACAAAGAATTTATGACTAAGTCATCAGAAGCAAATGAAACAAAAATAATAATAGGCAAATGGGACCTAAGTAAACTAAAAATCTTCTGCACAGCAAAGGAAATAATCAACAGAGTAAACAGGCAACCTACAGAACAGGAGAAAATATTCACAAATTATGCATCTAACGAAGTACTAATATCCAGAATCTACATGGAACCCAATAAATAATAAACACATTATGTCATTACAAAGTAGGCAAATGACATAAACAAACATTTATCAAAAGAAGACATGCAGGTTGCCAACAAACATTAAAAAATACTCAAGATCACTGATGATCATAGAAATGTAAATCAATATTGAAGTGTGTATTAGTCTGTTCTCATGCTGCTATGAAGAAATACCCGAGACTGGGTAATTTATAAGGAAAAGAACTTTAATGGACTAAC